>NC_000005.10:180726030-180876476 GCF_000001405.40 Homo sapiens
GATAGGAACTACATTCAGTGGGCTGGAGTGCAGTAGATCATAGCTCACTGCAACCTCAAACTCCTGGATTAAAGTGATCCTCCTGCCTCAGCCTCCCGAATAGCTGGGACTACAGGTACATGTCACCATGCCCGGCCAGTGAAACTTTTTCTAATAAACCAAAGCAATTAAAATAGCTTCTGTGTCTCCTTTGGCTAGGGAAAAGTAAAAGGTAAGCAAACACACAGAAAATCCTAGTTCATCAGAAAAAAAATCCAGTGATTCTGCAAGAAGGCCCTGGATGCACCTCATGCAAACTTCATGCAAATAGTTATTAATGAAAAACACACTTCCACCAGGCACAGTGGCTCACACCTCTAATTCCAGAACTTTGGGAGGCCAAGGTGGGATGATTTCTTGAGCCCAGGAGTTAGAAGTTAGAGTGAGCTATGATTGCAACACTGCACTCCAGCCTGGGTGACTGAGTGAGACCCCATCTCCAAAAAAAAGAAAAAGAAACACACGCTTCCTCCAATGATGAGCAATAAAAAGGAACCAGCAAAATACATGTACAAAAATAACGTAAGAAAAATATTTCATGTTCAAATAGATCAGAGGGTGAAAAAAAGAAAATAAAAAAAAGAAACAATGATCAAAAGAAGAGGAAATGTAAGTAACAGATAGACAAAGACACCAGAAAAAAAATGTTGCCAAGGAGCGGAGAAAAATTAGCACAAGTATTAATTAGGACAATAACAGTTTTTAAAGACATAATGAAGCAACCACCTCTAACAAGCATGAATGTAGTGAAGAGATTTAAAAGTTCAGAGAACATAAGGTAAGAAAACAGGATGTGAACTGCGACCCAGCAAAGATCAGGAAACACAGGGAAAGAAAAAAAGATTAAATCGTCACAGAAAAGAAGGCAAAATTGGATGGGGCGCAGGAAGAGACATGGACACAACACAGCAAGGGTCACAGAAGAGAGAAAGAGAGAAATGAATAAATGAAAACAGAAATAAATTAAGTTTAAAGAAATTAGAGAGTAACAGCTATGGAAGAAAAGCAGTATAAAATTGGAGTACTCAAAGAAAAAATAAAAATATTGAAAACAGAACAAATATTTAAAAATATAATATTGGAAAGCACTCCTGTGAAAATGTGAATTGAAAATGTGATTTAAAGAGCATACCATATTCTCTGGAAGACTGATCTGTATCAGGTCAACAGTGAGACAATCCTGGTAAAGATGGTCTCTATTTCAAAGATATAGAACCCACTGGGCAGATGAGCAAATGGATTAAGTCACTTGAGAGAGCAAATAAATCAGGCTGGTTCAGACGCCTCTGCAGTATTCATCACTAGATGACCCTAGAGCAGAGCCTGTGAAATCCTCAACAGGGCTGCCCAGGGTGTGTTGGGACCAGGCAAATACATTTATTGCGGAGACCCTGTCCATATAAAAAAACTAGTCCCTCAAAACACTGTGGTACAGACATAAAGACAGGCATATAGACCAATTGAATAGGATAATGAGTTCAGAAATTAACACTCACAAAAATCAATTGATTTTTGACAAAAGTGACAAGACCATTCAATGGAGAAAGAAAATTTTTAACAAATGGTGCTGAAAAAATTGGATACCCACATGAAAAAGAATAGGGATGGATGCTTACCTTATACTACGTAAAAAGATTAACTAAGATGGACTGAAGACCTATAAGAGCTAAATTATTGACTTTGAAAAGAAAGCCTGGGGGAAATCTTCCTGATGTTGGATTTGGCAATGGTTTCTTGGATATGACACCCAAAACACAGGTAACAAAATAAATGGGAGATAAACTGGGCTTCATAAAAATTAAAAACTTTTGTACAATAAAGGATACAATCAGGAGACTACAAAGGCAAGGAAAACACAGATTGGGAGAAAAAAATTAAAGCACACATTGGATAAGAGATTAATATCCAGAATATATAAATAATTCCTACAACTCAACAACCAAAAATAAGCAATCCAATTTAAAAATGGCCAAAGGACTTGAATACACATTTCTCCATAAAGGATATACAGATAGCAAACAAGGACATGAAAAGATGCTCAACATCACTAATCATTAGGAAATGCAAAAGCAAACCACAATGAGATATCACTTCCCACTCACAGGGCTGATAAAAAATAACAAGTGTTGGTGAGAATGTGGAGAAACTGGAATGCCACGCATTGCTGCTGGGAATGTAAAATGGCACGGTTGCCGTGGGAAACAGTGGGGCATACTGTGAGTGAGGAAGGCACTCCAAAGTATGGATACCCTGAGACATGGGGCTAGGGCAGAGGTCCTCCTTTTGCCTGGGATCCAAGGGCAAGAGTGACCTTAAGATAAAAATGTGACCTAAGAATTTCACACTCATCAAAGTTTGAACATGTTTAAAACTATAGGAATATTTTCCCCATGAGTCCAGAGACGGCCTAAAAATCTACATCCAAGAAATTAATGGTACACACTGAATTTTACTACCAGACCAAACTAAAGCCAATATGAGAAATAGGGAGACAGAAGAGAATGCTAATGTTATATGTCTTGAAAATGTTGAAATGCCATATTCAACACACTTTGAGAAAGCAAAATGAAAAAAAATTGCTTAATAGAGTAAGTATACTGATTTTTTTTATTTTAATAGCTAGGAGCAAAGTGTCTCATTAAAACTGACAAGCCAACAGAGTCATAAGCACATTTGAGTATAAAGAATAACATTAATAAAGTTGACGCAATCAACTAAAAATAAAATTAAATAGTGAACGAGAGTGAAGAGATAAAAAGAAACTTATTAATTTATTAATTGCTTAAAATAGGAAATTTACAGATACTTTCTAAGGAAACAAAAGACTAAATTATTAAATAAATGTATTATTATACAAGTAAACATTAGGACATATCTCTCTTCCATCAGGGAAATATACACACAAAAAAAGAAGGTAAAGACAATAGTCAGCATAGTGAATGTTTTTTAAAAATCTACAACAAAACATAGCATAAAATAATATAGTTAGGTCCAAATATACATCATACCACTAAATGTAAATGAATTAATAAAAAACAAAATAGTATTGGCTGGGCGCAGTGGCTCATGCCTGTAATCTCAGCACTTTGGGAGGCCGAGGCGGGTGGATAACTTGAGCTCAGGAGTTCAAGACCTGCCTGGCCAACATGGTGAAACCCCATCTCTACTAATAATACAAAAATTAGCCGGGCATTGTGGTGCATGCCTGTAATCCCAGCTATTTGGGAGGCTGAGGCACAAGAATCGCTTGAACCCAGAGAGTAGAGGTTGCAGTGAGCCAAGGTCACACCACTGCACTCCAGCGTGGGTGACAGAGTGAGATTCTGTCTGAAAAAAAAAAAAAAAAAGATTTAGTAGTATATAAAAAAAAATATTTAACTTCCCTATTAAAATAAAAATGCTTTCAAGATTGGGTAACGAAGTAAAGTTCATCTTGGGCACTGTGACTAAGAAAGGATTGGAAAAAAAGAAGGTCATCAAAGGTATATCAGGCAAATGGGAACAAAAGAAAGCAGTATTTTTACCCGGCAGGAGTTACCATGATCACGAAGGTGGTTTTCCAGGGCAAGCCTCAACCATTGCACTCCGGATATGCTGACCCGCATGATTTCCCCAAATGTAGGAAACTCAACTGCATAATTTTTGAAGGACTGCATTGCACTCTCTTCTGATTTAAAAAATTTAAAATTTTTAAATATAAAAATAAAAATAAAATATTTAGGATATTAATACGATACAAGGTAGACTTCAAGCCAAAACCATTAGCTAAGACAAATAAAGACAATTCCTAATACTAAAGTGTGGCATGATCCTAATAAAATGCCCGCAGGATTTTACTGTGGAGTTGGATAAGTTCATATTAAAGGTTAAGTGGAAAATAAACACGAAAAGTCGTGAAATCTCTTTTTAAAAAGAAGAGGAATGAGGGGGATACTACTCCTTCCAGATGGTTTACTGTATAATAGACTCTAAAACTCAATAATTTAAACATTGTGACTTGAATGCTTGAAGACATAGATCTGTGGAATGGTAAAGAAAGTTTATAAATAGACCCATTTTCTTGTGGAATTTAGTATGTGATAATGGTGTAACACAGGCCAATAAAGTACAGACAGATTATACGAGACAGGTTGTTGGAACTCCTAGTTAGCCATCTGAAAAAAAGAATAATTTTGGACACATATTTGTCCTTTACACCAGGACAAATTCAAAATGGATCAAGGATTTAAATGTAAAAAAGAATCAAAACGATAACTAAATTAAACCATGGCTGAATTCCTTATTGACCCTGCAGGAAGGTCTTTCTAAAACATTAACATAAAACCAAGAAGCATAAAAAAGATTCATAAATCAACTCCTATGTATCACAAACCTGCAAAATCAAGTCAAAAGTTAAATTGAAAATTGTAACAAGTATTTACAACTCACAAATTTATCTCATAAAGAGCTGAACTTCCCAATATATTAAAAGCTTCTGTGAATGAGAATAATAGCCAATAGATAAAATGAGGTGTGATGAGCAAGTTCCCAGAAAAAGAAATACAAACAACTCTAAAACTAGGAAGAGATCTCAACCTCAGTCATGATGAGAGAAATGCAAATTCAGTCTCTCCGTAACACCATCCTTCACTTTCAGTTTTGTAAGTAAAATAAATAGTAAATAAAATAAAAAGTTTACTCATGGGAGTGTAAATTGGAACAAACTCTATTGAGGGAAATTTGTGATCTTTATCAAAATTATTAATGACAAATACTGTGAATCAGCAATTCATTTGTAGAAATGTAGCATACAGATACTCTCACAAGTGTACAAAATGATGTATATCCAAGGCTACTCATTGCAGTGTTGCTTGTGAGAGCAAAGGCAGGACACAGCTGAAATGCTCATCAACCGAAATGATTGGTTAAATTGGTTACATAAAGTATGGTACATGCATGCATGGAATAAAAACAGCCATCAAAAATGAAGAGCAGTTTGAACTGATACGGAATAATTGTCAATTATTAATTGTCTGGTAATAAGTCCTGGAATTAAGCAGTAGCTTTCCAGATTAAGGGCTGGAATATACATATATATTTAGGCCGGGTGTGGTGGCTGACGCCTGTAATCCCAGCACTTTGGAAGGCCGAGGTGGGCAAATCATGAGGTCAGGAGTTCGAGACCAGTCTGGCCAACATGGTGAAATCTCGTCTCTACTAAAAATACAAAAATTAGCCGGGCATGGTGCTGGATGCCTGTAATCCCAGCTACTCGGGAGGCTGAGGCAGGAGAATCACTTGAACGCAGGAGGCAGAGGTTGCTGTGAGCCGAGATCGTGCCATTGCACTCCAGTCTGGGCAACAAGAGTGAAACTCTGTCTCAAAAAAAAAAAATAAAAATAAAAATAAAAATAAAAAATATATATATGTATGTGTATATTTATATAAACTTATATTTTATTATATATATTTATATATGTATTTATAATATATAAATATATATATATTTTAAAAAATATATATTTAAGTCCACATATTAGCTGGGTGAAGTGGCTCACGCTTGTAATCCCAGCACTTTGGGAGGCTGGGGCAGGAGGATCGCTTGAGTCTAGAAGTTTGAGACCCGCCTGGGCAACATAGCAAGACCTCTTTCTTTCTGAGTAAACCATTAGACTTTCTTTATTTATATCCCTAGTTCATTCAGAGAAAAAGTTAGATGTTCTCAGTAATACATAAAATACAGTTTTTACTACGTGAGTAAAGAAAACTAGTAAACTAGGAATCAGGGTTAAAGGGTGATGTGAAACCTGCAAGCATAGACAAGTCCAAAAAGGAAACCTACAAGGTGCTGTACATTTGAAAACATAGGATATGAATTCCACTCTTGGATTTCAAGAGTCCAGTGTGGAAGGAGACAATGTTAGCTACATAAACTACAGTGTCCATGAGTTTTAAAGATTAAAAGTGCATAAATATTGTTGGTAATGACACCAGAGAGAAATGTTCCCCTTGGTATTCCTAAAGGCATCTCAATGTCTTTACAGCAAACACAGCTCGGGTTTTACAAAGTTGTTTCCTTTAATGTATATTGACGCCATGCTACTAAAGCACAGTTCAATGTGGCAAAAGCAATTCAACAAGGACCGAATGAAGCTGTCCTGGATGGCAGTCTGGGGATTAGGAAGTGGACGCTCAGGAAAAGAATAAAGGAATATTCCTCAAATAATTCTCTGTAAATTAGATTTTTTTCTCACTGAAGTTGTATGGAGTATCCTTGAACTCAGTTATACAAATACACCCTAGAAGTTATCCCGGGTCCTTCTACTGTCAGTTAATGTCACATATGAGGGTTTTCACAAACCCTTGCAGTGGAAAATATCTTGACATCTTCTTTGGGAAGCTTAGAAGCCCAAGAACAGCAATAGCATATGCTGAATGGGAGACCTTCCCTTCCGGAAGGGGGCGACTAGCCAAGACACTGAGGGCACGAGCCGTCTAGTTCTCCAGTGTCTCCCACATATGCCTCCCAGGATGGCAAAGTCTCATGTTATAAGTGACAGCAACAATAATGTAGACCTCAAAATTATTTTAACCACATATGACCAAATTCTCTCCTGGGCCGTGAAAATGTATCAAAAAAGTACTCGAGGAATGTTTAACCTTGAGCAACGTAATTCCCTCTTTGAAATTCCAGTGGAGATTGGTTGCAGACTGTATGCCCACAGAAAAATGGTGAGCCCCACAGTAAAAGGCTGGGTCCCAACTCCCAGAAAATTCCCTGATATGTGGCAGTCATGAAATAAAGATTTGTTGAATAAATTCCTAAGTATGGTCGTTAGCCATAAACCTGTTAAATATTGGGCCTCTTCTACCAAAACGATGCTGGTATTGATGTCAAAATAGTGGCTTTGTTGGTTCTTCATTTCTGTACATCAATGCTAAGGACACTTGTCTATTCGGGTTCCTAGGGAACTTGGACTGTAAGTCATATCAGATGACAGCTCTGACATTCTCTGCACATTACTACCTATAAACCTGTTCTGCCCATATCTGTAATGGAGAGGCCATAGCTGCCCTTTATGGCTGTTTCAGAGTCACCGCACACTCGTAGCTAAGTCGTTCCCTATGTCCAGTGCCAAACCATCTTTGACTCAAGGTTTTCTTTCTCAGTAGCCAGATGGCAGAGAAAACCACTGATCTCCATATCTTTTAAATAATAATATTTGTATATCAAGATACAATAAAAGCATTCTCTAACTTTTCCTTATAATGTGCCTTCTGTTGTTGTCATTATTTTTTGAATATTCCCCTCTTTCCTCACATCTTTGTTGAAGAGAACGGCATCCCCAGTCCTTGAGTTAAATGATAAATAAGCAAAGCTTTGGGTTGGGTTGTAATAAAAGAAGTGTCATAGCTCAGCTCTCTTATATCAGCCCCAGAAAGAATTAGAATGAAACCTGTAAAGCCTTTTAAAAATCTGAAAAGAATTTGATACGGATGGAAGACTCCATAAGGGCAAAGGCAACTCTTCTCTTAATATTCTTCTGGCTCAGATACTGATTTATGATGAGGCATTTCTGGCATCAAGATGCAAGAAAAGGGTTTAGGGAGAGAGGTTTAGCAACCTTCTTACACGTACAAAAGGATAGAGATTGAGTGAAGATGAAAGAAACGAGTGCTGAACATTACTTAGGGTCCTTTCTTGCTACTCAGTCTCCTAGTGTCACACTGGGCCTCTGAGAAGGTACTCCCACACAGCACATGCACACGTGCACACACACTCATTCCTCTCCCCAACACACACACAAGCTCATCACCACCACCTCCATGAAGACAGGGGTCTTCCCTCCTGTTGCTGATTGCCAGATGGGTGTATCTGAACCTTCCCTTCTGCAGCTAAAGAATGCCTCCTCCTTAAATTTATCTCCTAAATAAGCAATCACCCTTTGAGGAACTCACTATGAATTTTTTTGACAAATAAAAATTGCATACATTTAGGGTGTACAACGTAATATTTTGATATATACAGTATATACATTGTATAATCATTACCACAATTTGGGTAATTAACATCCATCACCTCAAATAGTTAACCATTTTTGTGGTCAGAATATCTTTCACCGACTCTTTTAGCAAATTTCAAGTATACAATACATTATTATTAACTACAGTTATCATAACATACAATAGGTCTGCAGTACTTACTTTATAGCTGAAGGTTTTACGCTTTGACCAGTATCTCCCTTTTGTTCCACCCCCGCCCCTGTTAACCATAGCTCTACTCTCTATTACTAGGAGTTTGATTTTTTTTGAAGATTCTACATATAAATGAGATCATGTGGTATCTGTCTTTTTGTGTATGGCTTATTTTACTTAGCGTAGTATCCTAAGGTTCATCCATGTTATTGCAGATGACAGGATTTCCTTCCTCTTTACGTCTGAATAATATTCATGTCTCATGTTGTCTTTATCCGTTCATCTCTTGGTGGGCACTTAGATTGTTTCCATATCTCAGCTATTGTGAATAGTGCTGCAATGAACATGGGAGTGCAGATATCTTCTCAAGGTAGTAATTTCCTTTAGATATTGCTTTATGTATAACCAAAAGTAGGATTGCTGGATAATATGGTGGTTCTACGTTTAATTTTTTGAGAAACTTTCCTACTGTTTCCCACAATGGCTGTACCACCAACAATGTTCAAAGATTCCCTTCTCCACACCCTGCCCAACACTTAACTATCTTTTGGCTTTTTAGTAATAGCCATCCTAAGAGGTGTGAGGTGATATCTCATTATGGTTTTGATTTGTATTCCCCTGATTAGTGATGTTGAGAATTCTTTCCATATCTCTTGGCTATTTGTATGACTTCTTTGGAAAAATGTCTAAATGTCTATTCTTTGCCCACCCCTCTCTTTTTTTTGATGGAGTCTCTCTCTGTTGCCCAGGATGGAGTGCAGTGGTGCGATCTCGGCTCACTGCAACATCTGCCTCCTGGGTTCAAGCAATTCTCCTGCCTCAGCCTCCCAAGGAGCTGGGATTACAGCACCTGCCACCACACCCGGCTAATTTTTATATTTTTAGTAGAGACAGTGTTTCTCCATGTTGGCCAGGCAGGTCTTGAACTCCTGACCTCAAGTGATCCACCCACCTCCGCCTCCCAAATTGCTGGGATTACAGGCATGAGCCACCGCACCGGGCCGCCTTTGCCCATTTTTAAATGGTTACTTAGTGAGTTTTTTTGTTTGCTATTGACTTCATTGTAGGAGTTTCTTAAATATTATAAATGGGATTTGTTTCTTGATTTCTTTTTTGAATAGTTTGTTGTTATTGTATAAAAATGCAACTCATTTTTTATGTTGATTTTGTGTCCTGTGACTACTGAATTCATTTACTAGTTCTGACAGCATTTTGGTGGAGTCTTTAGGATTTTTTACATATAAGATTGTGTCACCTGCAGAGACAATTTCACATCTTCTTTCCAATTTGGGTGTCTTATTTCTTTCATCTGCTTTCATTGCTCTAGCAATAAAATTTCATTCTATGTTGAATACAAGTAGCGAAAGTATGCATCTTTGTCTTGTTCCTGATCTTACCTATGGACTTCAATGACAAGTGATGCCAATAAAACAAATGAAATATATATATATGTATATATATATATACACACACACACACATATGTATATACACACACATATATATGTGTATATATATTCACACACATATATGTATATATACACACACACATATATATGAGTATATATACACACACACATATATATACACACGATATATATGTATCGTTTATGTATATATCTAGATATATATGTATACATATCTGGATATATACATATACATATATGTATCTAGATGTATATGTATATATATAGATATAGACATACATGTGTATCTAGACAGATACACACATGTATGTCTAATGTATAGATATAGATATACTGGGTCTAGATATATATACACATATATGTCTCTATCTATATCTGGATATGTATGTCTGTATCTACATATAGATATCTGTACCTATATCTATACATATGCGTGCGTGTGCGTGTTATAAAGTCCAGGAATATTTTTTCAATCCACAGTAACCACTTTCCCTGATACTCACTGAAATGTCTCCAAGTTCTTATTCTTTCTTCTCTACAAAATCATCAATTTAATTTTTTTCTCTTGAGAACCAATCCTCCCAATCTCCTTTCTCCTATTTCTCCCTGTCTTTTCCATAAAAATGTTCCAGTTGTAAGCCTTATATGCATCCTTATTTCTAGCTCGAAATTCTGCTTAGGTGGTTTAGCAGGTAAAGAACAAATGGCAACAGGTTTCAAATGGCAGCCAGCTGGGCTCTAGAAGACAAAGGTGCCAAGGTGTTTATATTCTTTTCCATTCATTAAGTCACCTCTCACTTCCTCTCTCAGATGGGTAACTGAAGGACCCTGGGAACAACTCACTGGCTCTGGGAGGGCTGTGAGGACACAAAAATCTCTAAAGATCAATTAGCCACTGTTACGGATGAGAAGGTCCAAGGAGACCCAAGGGATGTAGGTTCCCATGGAGAAGGCATTTGCCTTCCACAAGACCTGACTTGCAAGAGTGATGGCTGTGTGTACCCAACTGTACCAGTGACCTCTTAAAATTGCTCAGCTATGAGACATGTTCCCTTTAATGTAATTAGGAAGCTATATCTCTGCATTCCAAATGAAAAAAGAACACATTAACCACAAAACAATTTTATTAGATTCCTGCTAGTTCAAATAGTTTCCTTTTCTTCATTAGGGTAATGTATATGCTTGAATTGTTTAGACTTAGATAGACAAGGATACGGGAGAAAAATCATTTGTTCCAGGCAGTTTCTTGCTTAGTTCCTTGAGCTAATAAACATTTCTTAATTGGTCTTTAAGTAGTGGCTAGTTGGGTAGGATTTGGAATAAAACAAGCCAGATTCAAATCCTGACCCACCATTTAGTGCCTGGGTAATTGAGGCAAATCACCCAAAATGATTATCTAACTTTCAGTCTCTAGATCAACAGAACTAATAGGAGGAGGGAAATAGCACCTACATTCCATATTGTAGGAATTTAGTGTGTCGGTGAAGTATATTATATAGCATGGTGTTTGAAATATGCTTGACTGTAACTATAGTAAGGGTTCAATAAATGATAACTATTTTTACAGGACACATTAGCTTTGTGCAAAAAAAAAAAAAAAAAAAAAAGCCTTCTGACCAAAGAATTTGTAACTCAGATGAGTCTAGAACCCTGGCCAGAATTAACCGAAGCAAAACTATGAAAGTACACTAAGCTCACACTTGATTCTCTCTCCAGCCACCCTTCTGTCCAAACTCAATCTTTCCCTGTTAAAAATGTCCTTCCAGAAAAAGAGAATTAGGAGGATGTTGTAGTAAGCGTTGGATTTAGGGTTTCAGAAACCTAGATCTCAGCTTCACCCCATATTTGCTATGTGAACTTGGGTGACTTAAACTCTCTGAACCTCAGTTTCTTGTGAATAAATAGGGACTATAACAAAACTCACTCTCACAATACAGCTGTAAGGACTAATAACATTGTATGCAAAAAGGTTTTTCAGATATAAACAAATATTAGTTATTGTTATTGGAATAAAAGATGATTCCCTCAACATGAAATTTACCAAGACCGTGAAAGTTGATTAATAAGGACGCCACGCTTTGATATGAAGCCAAGAATGTGGGATGCAGTGACAGTGCTGGAATATCCGGTACCCATTGTCTTCACACTTCAGCCTCTTGAGCCTCCCACCACTGCCTTCCACAGAAGTCTCTTTTTTTCATTGTCTTCACACTTCAGCCTCTTGAGCCTCCCACCACTGCCTTCCACAGAAGTCTCTTTTTTTCATTGTCTTCACACTTCAGCCTCTTGAGCCTCCCACCACTGCCTTCCACAGAAATCTCTTTTTTTCATTGTTGTCACTCCTCCTTATCCCTTCTTCTTTTCTATATCTATTCCTCTTGGCTCATTATTCATATGTTCATTTCTTCTCTATTATCTTCTCTCTTGCATGGAAAATATCTTATCCATGGCACCAAGCTGCATGACAGAGACTCCTGTTGTAGCTAGTAAGAGTCTATGCTCCCTTTACTCAATGCCACCCTAGTGATTTTGTCTTTTTCTTCAAGTGTGTAAATGACATCCAAACCTGAAACTCTGCATGCTCCTTGAAGTACCTCTGTTTATGATCTCCTTATTTGCTCCAAATATCGGACATGAATAACCTCTGTTAGAGACCTTAGAAATGGGTTCTGAGATGTGAGCGTCTACGGCAGGGTCGCAGTTACTTAGAATCGGGGGAACTCATTCTGTCTGCCTCTGGGCACAGTGCATCTGCATGGCACCACGTTGGGAGTCATTGACCTTGGGAAGGTGTTGTCATTCCCTATTAAATCTTCTATCACTCTCAGTCTTGCCTAGAACCCATCCCACTCTCCATAAGTGGACACAATACACCCTCTTCTCAAGCTGGTTCCTTTGGAAAGTTGTGATAAAAACCAGCACTTACTGATGGCTGCACAGTGATCACAGACACTGAGCAAGAAAGAGTCCCAAGAGATCCCTACTTCCAGTTTCTAAACAAGGAAGGGACTAAAACTCTGAGGACGGCCATGCGCGGTGGCTCACACCTGTAATCCCAGCACTTTGGGAGGCTGAGGCGAGTGGATCACCTGAGGTCAGGAGTTCGAGACCAGCCTGGCCAACATGGTGAAACTCTGTCTCTACTGAAAATACAAAAATTAGTAGGGCGTGGTGGTGGGTGCCTGTAATCCCAGCTACTCGGGAGACTGAGGCAGGAGAATCACTTGAACCCAGGAATCCAAGGTTGCAGTGAGCCAAGATCGTGCCACTGCACTCCAGCCTGGGCAACAAGAGTGAAACTCTGTTCCCCCCGCCACCAAAAAACAAAAACAAAAACCAATTCTGAGGATGACTGAGGGCTTTCCTACTGACCAACTGCCCTCCAAGGAACAGGGAAAGATCTGTGATTGAAGAGCTATTACAGAAAATTTTACTGCTCATTTTTTCACCTCCTACCCTGAGTCCCTGCCCCTCCATAGTACTTTCCACAGAGCCCCCTTCACGTCCTTGTTTCTTAGTGTATAAATGAGAGGATTGAGAATGGGGGTAATTATAGTATAAAAAAGGGCAACAAATTTTCCCTCACGCTCAGAATAATTGTGGATGGATTGGAGATATGTGTAGATGGCTGAGCCATAAAAAAGGAAAACTACTAGGAGGTGGGACCCACAAGTCCCAAAAGCCTTTCTGCGCCCAGCCGTTGACTTCACCCTCAGCACTGCATGAGCAATGTGCACATAGGAGCCTAGAATAAGTGCTGCAGGAACAGCCACGACTATGACTCGGGCCACAAACATCTTGGCCTCTGTTCCTTCTGTGTCCGCACAAGCCAACTTCAGAAATACAGGCATCTCACAGAAGAAGTGATTCAGTCGATGGCCACAGAGAGGCATGGCCATTGCGAGACCTGTCTGGATCAGAGAGTTCACGAAACCCGCACCCCAGGAGGCGATAGCCAGGGTCTGGCAGAGATGGGGGTGCATGATGGCCATGTAGTGGAGTGGACGACAGACAGCAGCATAGCGGTCAAAGGCCATCACCACCAGGAGCACACACTCTGTGGAGCCCAGGGCTAGGTAGATGAAGAGCTGAGCCACACACCCTCCACGGGTGATGGTGCGGTCCACCCCGCAAAGGTTGATCAGGAGCTGGGGCACGGTGCTGGTGGTGAAGCAGAGGTCCAGGAGGGACAGATGAGAGAGAAAGAAGTACATAGGTGTGTGCAGCCGAAGGTCTAGCCAGGAGAGAGCGATGATGATGGTGTTGCCAAAGAGAGTTAGGGAGTAGAAAATAAAAATAAAGACAAACAGGATGGGCTCCAGTTGCGGCCAATCTGAGAATCCCACCAAAATGAAGCCATCTTCAAAACTGGTGTTGAAACTTCCCATGGCCTTTTGCCTGTCTGAACAGCAGAAGGAAGTGCAATGCCTCCTATACTGAGCACAAGCTACAACATTATTTCGCAGGATTCCCTGAATACTAAATCATGCATTTTATTACCTATTTTGCTCTGCAGTTTGTTGTGTCTGGTGTTCTTTCCCTTCTCTTATTCAGAGTGGAAATCACTGGCTTGGGAATCATATGGCCTTTGTTTGAATCCTAGTCCTGCTGCCTGTTTGTTCCAGGACTTCACCCAGGTCAGTCAGTCCTTTAGATCCAACATTTCCTTGCCTAAAAGTAGAGATGATGTATCACAGCAATGAGATTAAGGTCAAATGCAATAATGTGGAAGCTGCTTTTAAAAGACTCAGATGTAACAGGTAGCATTACTATTCTATGTTGCTCCCATTTGCTCCTTTGCTGGTCTAGCAGGTGGCCTCTTTCAGTAGGGTTACCCCCCATGCCTAACCAGGCTGGGAGCCCTGTTTGACCTCTGGGTGCCCACCTGCTTTTTTCGACTATGGACAGCCCATACAATCCCAGAAACCCCACGCACGACCAGCAAATGACTGAGAAGAGTGTAGATCCCTCCTTTTGGAGAAGAAAAAAAAATCAATTAGCAACAAATATATTTCCTATGGTGTGTCATCATGCCTGAAATACCACACACACACGCACACACGCACATACACACTCCCTTCAATGGCTAAATCCATTCCTCAGCTGCCCAAGAAGAGTTATTTCCTCCTCTCTAGCCCAACCCTCTTTGTACAGTTTCTTTCTGCACTTGTCACACTCGCTGGAATTCTTTTTGTATGTCTTTGTCCCTCTCTGAGCTGTGAGCTCCTTAGTGGTAGCTAACATAATGAACGTAAAATAAATATTAGTGTCTTTCAGTGGGGCACGGTGGTTCACGTCTGTAATCCCAGCACTTTGGGAGGTGGAAGTGGGTGGATCACCCGAGGTCAGGAGTTTGAGACCAGCCTGGCTAACATGGAGAAACACTGTCTCTACTAAAAATACAAAACAAAACAAAAAAATAGCCAGGCTTGGTGATGGGCACCTGTAATCCCAGCTGCTCAGGAGGCTGAGGCAGGAGAATTGCTTGAACCTGGGAGTCGGAGGTTGCAGTCAGCCAAGATTGTGCCACTGCACTCAAAAAAAGAAAAAGAAAAAAAAAAGTAGTGTCTTTCTTTATGCTACACACAAAGTGCTAAATTAATATTTTCATTCAGGGCACATAGTAGATTTTGAATAAATTTCATTGAGTGAAACATGAGGTTATCCCTTCAAATCTCATCAAAATTTATTTCTTCTAGAAAACCTGAGATTACCAACATATTTTGATAAACTGTGAAAGTGAGATATGCATAAAAATTTGCTCTACGTTAAAGTTCACATTTCTTATGACAAAACGTCTAAGTAGGATTATAAGAAAGTATGTCAGAAAGCAAAAAAGGGAAAAGGAGCCTAGAATATGCTCTATATGAACAATTTTTGCCAAATTAACTCTGTCCTCTTTTTGTTAAGTTTACTGGACTGAAGATCATCATCAATGGATCAATGCTAGATCAATGCTAGATCAATGACTCAAGTAAGGCATTTGGACACCACCCTTGATGCCCTTGTGGAAAAGATGAATAAACTGTGGATTAATAATAGCAAAGAGGTAATTCATATGTAGCTTAACCGATACATCAAAGCCATTTTTTGAATGACCACCATAGCAGACCACAATGGCTTTCCCATTCATATCGGTCCCTACAGATCAACTCTATTGCTGACCAGCTGTGACATCTATTCTGGGAAATTTTGTTTCTGTGAGTCTCAGTTTACTTACCTATAAAACAGAGAAAACAATTTATTTCAAAGGATTTGGATTGGGATTAAAGGATGCGATACATTCCGTAAGCTACAAAGAATATGTTACATATACTTTTAACACTTGTCTGTCTGTATCAGTAATCTTCAAGTTCCATGCAACTGAGTCTTTCACTTACCGTTGTATCCTTATCTTCCAGTGCAGAACCTGGTGAATAAAATGTTCTCAGCAAATATTATTGAATGAATGAATGAACACGTTCCTAAAGCTGGCGCCATATTCAATGCACACAAATGTTCCAGAAAGATTTGTTTCCCATGCAACATGAAGACATTAATACATTGGCAATGCTTCTTGTTTTTGTTTGTTTGTTTGTTTGTTTATTTGAGACGGAGTCTCGCTCTGTCGCCCAGGCTGGAGTGCAGGGGCGCGATCTCGGCTCCCTGCAAGCTCTGCCTCCCGGGTTCACACCATCCTCCTGCCTCAGCCTCCCGAGTAGCTGGGACTACAGGCGCCCGCCACCGCGCCCGGCTAATTTTTTGTATTTTGAGTAGAGACGGGGTTTCACCGTGTTAGCCAGGATGGTCTCGATCTCCTGACCTCATGATCCGCCCGCCTCGGCCTCCGGAAGTGCGGGGATGACAGGCGTGAGCCACCGCGCCCGACCTGCTTCTGGTTTAGCAGCGCGAAGTTTCTAACACTTCCTGATCTATATTTTTATCGATGAGTTTTATGGTGACATAGAGACACATTTAGTATCTTTCCAATTGAACAAAAGCTTAGAAATACAATTAACATGACGAATGATAGGACAGTAATCCAAAAGGATTTCACTACAGTGAAACAAGAATCCTTAAAGCAATAAATAGCCACCATAGTAGATAAGATAATAAGATAGGGTGGAACTGGGAAAACTGAACTTAGCTTCAGAACGTCCGCTGGATAGAATGGAAGAGACCAAAACTGCAGACTTGACAGACATTCACTAAAGACACGGAAGACAAAGATTACGTGGGAGGACACTGATTAAAAACAAAACACCAGTCAGCAGTGCACACGGGCTGCTGAATTTCACCAAATGCAGCTCAGACTAGATACAAATCATAACATAAGACCTCACCGCTCCAGTTTGGAAAGACACCTAAAGGTCATTTCCTCACAGCCCCTTGCACCATCTGATGATCCCCTATACAGAATCTCAAACCAAGAGCTGGTGTAGTGAAGCCCCTGCCCCATTTCCTCATCCATGGTCTGGTGTCCCTTTATTTCTGCCTGCCCCCTGCTTCCATCTTTATGTGCCTTGTACTTGTAATCCCCGATCCATCATGTCAAACATTGCCTTGCTAATATCCCTAACTCATTATCTATCCATCCCATGTACCCAATTCCGGAAGCGTGCAATTTTCTAGAGTCTGTATGACTAAAATCAGATTAATAAATTCTGCTTAAAAGAATAATTCAGTTTTGCCAGTACACCTTTAACTTTTCCCTCTTTAGTGGCTGTTGCTCAAGAGAAATGATCGATGGTCAAGTCTTTCCAATTAAAAACATCTCCTCTCACCCCATTCCCTGTTTTGTTACTGCCCCATCTCTTTCCTCCCCTTCAGAGATAAGTGTATTGAAAGAATTGCCTGTGCTTGGTGTTTCCGCGACCTCCCCTCACACTCACTATTGAGCCCACTGCTATGTAGATGTTGCCCTCATCATATTTTATAGGAAAACACAGTGGACATTTTCAGGCTTTGTCTTTGTCCTAGCATTTTATGTGTTGACTGCTGCCCTTTTCTACAAAAAAACTTCTTCCCTTCCCTCCCCGATGTCTTCCTCCTTCTCTGTGCATCTCTTACATGCTTGGGTTCCTTTTCTGGGTTCCATCCCAGACCCTCTTCTCTTAGCATCTACAGATTCTTCCTGGAAATGCCATCCTCCCCAGAGCTTGAATCACACGGTCACTGTGTTGCTAACACCCGAATGTGTCTCTTTACCTCTAATCTGTCTCCCGAACTTCAGACTTCTATAGTTCATCTGTATTAACCTTTTTATTTTCTATAGTTCATCTGTATTAACCTTTTGATTTTCTATAGTTCATCTGTATTAACCTTTTGATTTTCTATAGTTCATCTGTATGCCTTTTAATTTTCTGTATTTCTGATGCTCCGATGTTTTGAGGCTTTGCTGACCCCAGAGGGATGCCTCTCCCAGGACTGCCAATTCCTAAGGTTAGTGCTAGCCTGAAAGCACAGCTCTCATATGCAAACAAATCAACCAGACCCACACCCCAACCAAAAATTCACAGTATCTTTACTGGGCTCTCACACTGTGGACCACTGTCGACCTGTGCTAATCACCACAGGGCCAAGAAGCAGACAGGAAGGGACCGCCTTTGTATCCCAGAGTGTGCTGAGATTATTCAACCAGGCCATGAGAGGCCAGCGTCCCCTGCCTCACCAGTTCCTTCCTAGAGGAACCACAGCAAAGGCTCTTGTCCATGGCTTCCTTGCTTCTCTGCCTATCTGTGTGCCTCACCGTATGGCCCTGCACCGTCCATCATGCCCCCTCCTTTCGGGAACTGTGAGTAACAAACCACCTTTTAAATGCCACTCATCTCCCAATCTGCTGGCCTCACCACACCTGCCTGTTAAAAACAAAACCTGCCTGTTAAAACTCCACCTCCTTGCTGATCATCTCTTCTTGGATGAGTCCTGGGCACCAGAAACTCAGCATGTCCAATACCGAACTCATCATCCTCCCCCTAAAAATCTGCCTTGCCCCCTGTGTGCCAGGGGAAGGGCGCCAACAAACTCTACAGTTTACAAAACCAGAAAACTGGTCATCAGCCTCTATATCCCACTTGATTCAAGTCACAGCTTCCAGGGCACTTTACCTGAAACAGCAGCTCTCAACCCGGGGCAATTTTACCCCTTAGGGGACATTTGACAATGTCCGTAGACATTTTTTACTGATCCAACTGGCATTCAGTGCTTTGAGGCCAGCAGTGCTGCTAAACATCCCACAATGCACGGGACACGATGCACGGGACACGATGCACGGGACAGCCCTCCCACCTTGATGACACACACAGAATTATCTGGCCCAAACATGTCAATTGGGCTAAGGTTAAGAAAGTCTTCTCTAAGAGGTATTCTCTGACTTCTCTCGCCTGAGATAAGTCCTTGCTCTATGATCCTATGGTGCATTGTACTTTCCCATATACAATTTACCACGTTCAACTTAATTTCTGATTGAATTATTTCCCTATCCCACCACCCTAGAGCTCACAGAGAGTAGAGCTGGGTCTGTCTTGTTGACAATTACAATTTCAGTGCCTAGAACAATGACTAGCACATAAAAGTGCTTGATCGTTAAGTCCCTGGAGCATGCAGGCACTCACCTGCACCAGCTCTTTGACAGGTCCTTAGAAATGCATGACATCTTGCTGCGGTTTCAGTCTTATTTGGAAAGCGGGATGTGGAGGTAGTGCTGCTTCCCTGGGGTCTGGTGCCTTTTATCTGGAATCTGGTGCATCAGGAGAGAGTCCCAATGTGTACACAGTGTCTAGGTTAAACCTTTTTCTATCTCCTCTCCATCCTATTGGTTTTCTTCTGCCTAACCAAGGCCTTGGGACTTGCCTGCCTGCTTGTGAGCTCCTTCTTTGGGGGAAATGTCCTGCTTCCTAACTCCCTGGGTCCTGCTGAGAATAGGCTGATCTCCAGAACCGCAACATCCATGCCGTGCCAACCTGAAACGCTGCGTTAAACCTCGTCCTCCCTGAGGCTAGTGACTCCCTACGTTCCTCAGGGCTCAGCGTGCCCTCCCTGCACTCACCACAGGTCTACACTCAGGGACCAGCTGCTGCAGTTCTGAGACCACCCCAATCCCTCATAGAGTTTTTCTCTATCCTCCCTCTGGGCCCAGTTGCTGGGGTCTGCTTCATGCCCGTATCTTGTAATCACAAAAACAAAAACTCTTCTTACAAACTCCCTGGGAGCTCTTTTTCTCTTTCAACAGCAGATGCAAGTTACTCCTCACGTGAAACCAACGTTGGACTTCAGACATATTCCTAGTCCTGTGTCTCATAACCCAGGAGGGTTTGACCATAATGCAAGTCCTGATCAGACCCGCTTGGATATTGGGCAGCGTTCAGCCGTATGTGGAGGGTCTCAGTGCACATCGCTGAGAAGTGGGGAAGGTCTCATCAGGGGAGCACCCAGAATAAGCACAAACCCCCTTCCCACGGATGGTCTCCAAATATTGAAGGAAACGACCATGCTGTGCAAGCTTTGCTGGGTTCTATATTCCTCAAGTGAAGGTGATAGCTTCAACACGTCCATATCCTTTCTTGTTTCCCAAATCTGTCATTTCAGCGAAGAAAGAAAATGACATTAGGCTGATGTAAGTGGTCCCTACTGACTCATTTTCACCTCAGCCTTCCCTAGGTGGTCACAGATGTTCCCTGCACAACCTCACATTTAAAAAATATATACATTGCCCACACTCTGCACTGGTCAGACAGAATTTTGAGTATTTGGCATGTTCTTGGCATTAGACTGGGATTAAAACTTTGACAAAAATCATAGGATCAAAGGACAATAAAACCAATAAGTCATCTGGAAACACCCTGCATGAGAAATAGGTGTTTTATATTTTATTTTAATTGGCACGTAATAATTGTACATATATATGAGGTACAGAGACATATTTAGATGTATACAATACATAATGCTCAATTCAGGGTAATTGTGAATAGCATATTTATCAAATTAGGCATTTTAATTGAGTTTTTAGATCAGAAAATAGAAGTCTCCAAGGCAAGCCTGATGGCTTGTACGCAGGTTGAAAGATCTCATGTGGAGAATGTCGTGAACTTGCATTGCTCTTCTACAAAGGTCAAAACTAGGACCAACAGGCGAAACTTACAAGAGAACAGATTGTGGCTCAATATTAAAAAAAAAAAAAGTGAATAAAATGAAGCAGTCTAAAACTAGGCTGCCTGGAAATGTGATATTCCCATCACTCGAAAGCTTCCTGCTCATTCAGAGGGTGAAAGTTGACTTTTCAGGATGATGTGAAAATGTTCCTGCATTAACTGAAACATTTGTTAGGTGGTTTTGAGCACTGCATCCAACCCTGATAGTTTTCTAATCTTAACTTATCTTTTTAAAATTTAACCCCTATTCTTATCCCTTTGGCACACATAAAGCATTCCTGCATTTCATGTGCATATTTGATATTGTTAAATTTCTGCATTACAAAGACCAATGGTTGTGCTCATCTCTCTGGGTTTTGTTTTTTTGCATTTTTTTTTGAGACGGGGGTCTCACTCCATCATCCAGGCTGGACTGCAGTGGCACTAGTGATCCTCCCCACCAAGCCTCCTGAGTAAGCTGGGTCTACAGGCATACACCACCAGGCCTGGGTAATTTTTTGTATTTTTTGTAGAGACTGGGTCTCCCTATGTTGCCCAAACTGGTCTTGAACTCCTGGGGTCAAGCAATCCTGCTGCCTCAGCCTCCCAAAGCAATGGGATTATAGGCATGAACCACTATGCCTGGTCCGTGCTCATCTCTGCGTGTCTGTGTCTGTGTGTACATCTGTGTGTCTATGCATGACCTCTAAAAATAACACACTTATTGAAATCAGAAATCATGTTTAAATTATTTTCAACAGCACGTAGTACTATATTCTTCATATTCTTCATGCCAGTCTACTAATTTAATGATATTTTCTGACTGTAATAGAGCCACATTCAAGCCAGAAAATTTCATCCTCTGTCTGAGTGAAGGAGGAGGTTCTACAAACTCCTTCCGAAACACCTTCATTGGTAGAACATTCATCCTTAAATTTGAATCTTATTTCACCCTTTTATTACACCTGCATGAGTAGCTCTCTTATTAGTTTTTGGAAGATTAAACCCACTATCAAAACTTACTAGGCACCAAAACATCCTTCCTTCCACTCATCCTCCATCACATCCTCCTCTTCTGCAGACACACCTGACCCTGTTCCTCTCACCTGAGGAATCACACAATATCTCATCATACCCCATGAGACTTTAGGGTGATCTTTAAGACGCTTCTATAAAATACTTAATAATAACCCACATTTCGCAGTATAAGACCAGAAAACTCCGGTTTGAGTTCAGTAAGCTTAATTAACAAAGACTGAATTAACAAGTAGCTTGTTTTAACTCTGATTCCCACACAGAACATTGTCTCCAAATAGGATAGATTCCCTTCTGTCATCTAGTTCTTCAAGAAGTCTTCCGGGATTTATCTTCAACAGCTCTGACCATTGCTCTATTCTTTGTCTCTTGGCACTGAGGCCTATAATTTACTTTGCATACTAGAGCCCTGGCATCATGGAATTTGAGATTTAGAAGAAACTTCAAAATGATTTTAAGCTTCACACTTTACATAAATAAACTTATTTCCCTAAGTTTATGCAGTTGGAGAGAAAAAAAAGAAATTGTTTGACATGCTGTATTCAGTTGAGTGAATGGATGGGTGAGTAAGTGGCAGAGAAAGACTCTATCAGTGATAAAATATGTTCTTGCATGAATTTAATAGCTCTATGTACTCAAACTGGGGATGCTACACAAAGGAATCCCCCACTAATTGCCCAATGAAATATTTCTATGCATGACTTCTAAAAATAACACACTTATTGAAATCAGAAATCATGTTTAAATTATTTTCAACAGCATGTAGTACTATATTCTTCATATTCTTCATGCCAGTCTACTAATTTAATGATATTGTCTGACTATAATAGAGCCACATTCAAGCCAGAAAATTTCATCCTCTGTCTGAGTGAAGGAGGAGGTTCTGGATTTTTAACTATGAAGTCAGAGTGGCCCATCCAGTCAGTACTTACCCAGGGCTCCTGTCCTGGAGAAGCGATGGTTACATAGGCTCCCTCCCTGGGCAGGGCAAAACTGCCCAAGGCCCATTGCCCGCCAGGCAGGAGCCTCCTCCCCCAGGCACCTTCGCTCACTCACCCTAACCAACTCAGCCGTGGAGGAACTGGTGTCTTACCAAACCACCTCCTGACCCTTAGGCTCAGCAGCAATCCTGCCTCAGGAGCATTGCCAAGGCCTCCTTAAGAGGAGTCAGGGGAAAATTGTTTACCAAGTATGACCTTGGAGACCTCCGGGCCCCAATGTGGCAATCAAAATCAACTGACTGAAAAACCAAGATTTGCCTTGAGTCCTCAATTCTCTCTATTCCCCATGCTCTGCCTAAATCAAATGAATCTATTCAGTGTCCTCAGAACCCAACTCTTCCCTTGGTGCATATGACTCTGCATCCTGGGATTCTGCACACTTCTGCTTTCACCCAAATCCTACCAGTCCTTCACCACTCAGACTAAATGACTCATCTCTCTTGGAGCTTACCATATTCACCACCTCAAATCTCTCCCTTCCCTGAGCTCCTCATATAATGCCCATATATCCCCATTATGTGTCTCATTGACTCAATTCAGTATTAATTTCCTTGAAGACAAGTTTGATGCTTTACATTGCTTTCAAACATAGTATACTTCATGTATTAACATTTATTTCTTTATACTCTGTTTTTTATTCACAATAAATTTAAAAGGAAAATGCATTTATTTATCAATTCATTCAAAAATTATCTACTGAGCAATGAGTGCTGTTCTACATACCACAGGAAATAAAACAAGAAACATTTAAGATGATTTGTATCCACTTAAGGGGTCATAATATAATATAGAAGAAATAGCTGTGCCATTACTAGCTTTGTGACCTTGAAGAGCTTTCTTGATATGCTTGCACCTTAGTTTCCCTTCAGTAAGATGATATTATTATGGCTTATCCTGTGGTTCTCTTTTGCAGATTAATGACACAGTGTATATAAAGTGCTTGGCATATGGTAGACATTCACTCAATGCTAGTTAGTGTTACTGGAACACAAACATAGGTGCATATGTGTGGTTATACAAGCATAAAGAAAAGGATGGAAAGGTTCACCTCAAACTGATTATGGTAATGCTGCTTATTGGTTGAGGGGTGTTGAATATGGGAAGGAGGTGGGAAGACTGATAACTTTTTCTTCATACAACAACAGGGTTTCATTTGTTGTAATTAGCATATATTTATTTTAAGAGATTTATTGAGGTATAATTCACATATCATACAATTCACACACTTAATATGTACAACTCAATAGCTTTTAATATATTCATAGATTTGTGCATCCATTATTTTAGAATATTTCCATTACCCCCCAAAATAATTCATGCCAGTTTGCAATCACTCCTCATTCTCACCCTCAACTCCAGGCAAGCAGAAATATATTTTTTGTCTTGATAGACTTGCCTTTCTAGACATTTCATATACGGACTCTTACAACATGTGGTCTTTTGTGTCCAGCTGGTTTCCCTTAATAATGAAGCTTCATCAATGTAGTAGCATGGATCATTTATCATCCTTTTTTATGGCTAATGTTCCTTTGTGTGAATATGCCACATTTTCTCATCCATTCATCTGTTGATGATCATTTGGTTTGTTTACACCTTTTGCCTATTTCATATGAATAATGCTGTTATGAAATATTTGTGTATGAGTTTTGTGTGCACATATTGATTGCTGTAATTCCAAGGAAAATAAAATAAAATATTTTAATAAAAACAAAGAGGCTAACCATACACTTCTAAAACCTAAAAAAGATTACCATCTTCTACAGATGATGTCACTGCTCTGTAAAGCTGAAGAAGAACCAGGAAAGAGAAATAATCTGACTAGGTATACAGAGCTCACAAATTGGTTGCCACCTGTTAAGGTATTTGGGCAACATAGTGGTTGATTTTTTACAAAAATTTTGCTGATAGGTTAACATCAGTAGGATTCACATGAAAATCTAAATTTTTATCTTTTCGGAAAGTTCAAAATATATGTCAACATTCTTTCAAATAAAATCAGTGGTGGGATGAGGGCAGGCGTGGCGGCTCATGCCTGTAATCCTAGCACTTTGGGAGGCTGAGATGCAAGGATGGCTTGAGCCCAGGAGGTCAAGACCAGACTAGGCAACATAGGGAGACTCTGTCTCAAATAAAAAATTAGCCAGGGGTGGTGGCACATGCCTCTGGTCCCAGCTACTTGAGAGACTGAGGTGGTAGGATCACTTGAGCCTGGAAGGTTGTGGCTGCAATAAGCCATCATTGCATCACAGCACTCAAGCCTGGGTGACACAGCAAGACCTTGTCTTGAAAAAATAAGTAAATAAATAAATCAGTGGGAACTGAGCAGTAGACCCTCCCCTAGAAGGAACATGCATTTTTTTCACCAAGCCAGCCCCTATTTGCACATTACGCCCCTGTCCTGTAGGCATTGGGATGTGCGTCCCTGGGTTCTTCAGAAGAGGGCAGGGGGGAAAGGTTGGACAATCCAGGATAGGATATTTGATTTGGAAGCAACTTTTGAAGTCCTTTCCTGATTCACAGAACTTCTCTGCACCAGCACCCAAGCATGGCCACTCAGCTCCTGTTGAAAGCCTTGGGGAAAGGGAGATCACTGTCCCCTGGTCAACTTCCTCACCTTTGTACATTCTTCCTTACACTTAGCCAAATTCAGTCTCTCACAGGCTTCAATGTGTCCATGTTTATTCTTACCTTTGGAATCACAAGTAAAGTTAAATTCCATCTTCCACATAGTAGCCCTTCAAATCTCTCTCTCTCTTTTTTTTTTTTTTTTTTTGAGATGGAGTCTTGCTCTGTTGCCCAGGCTGGAGTGCATTGGTGCAATCTTGGCTCACTGCAACCTCTGCCTCCCGGGTTCCCGCCATTCTCCTGCCTCAGCCTCAACTACTGAGATCAAGTGATCCTCCTGCATGATCCTCAGGCATGAGCCACCATGCCCAGCCTGAGTTTCTAATTTTTAATTGTGGTAAAAATATATGTACCATAAAATTTATTATCTTAGTCCTTTTTAAGCATATAGTTCGGTAGTGTTAAGTATATTCCCATTGTTTTGCAACAATCACTTTTGAATAGCAATAGACCACTCTTCCTCAACCTCCATAATAAGATTTTAACTAGAAAAACAATATTGTATTACCCTTTATACTTTTTGTAACTCTTGGATTGAAAATATACTGGTAACAAGGGCATTGATTAAATGGATCATATATTGCAATCATCAAGGCAAATTTATTTTTCTCTATCACTGTCCTTCTAAAACCAATGGCAGTTGTCCTTTCCCATATCCGGGATGAAACTTGAGCAGATTTCACAACTTCTTTTCATCTCTTATAGATAACAGATAGTCTTATGGATATTTTAAGAACCACAGAAAAATTTAATTAGTTGTCCATGACCAAAAAATTAACAGAGTGGACGAGCCATAATTAAAACAAAATTCCTTTGTTCTGAGTGCAAAACCCACATACTCTACTAAAAGTAGATGGCAATGCAAGAAATGAGATAGCAGATAGCAAAGAAATGAGCTATAAGCAAAAGTGGCCACCACTGGCTTCTGCAGATGGCTCTGCACTGAGGGGAACGGTTTGAGGAGTTCATTCATTGTAATTGCTACATATAATTTCATGGCATGAACATACCACTATTTAATCATCATTTTTAAAGAACAAAGCACTTCAAACACTGCGCCCATGAACATATTTATGCAGGGCTCTTGTGCCTCTGTGCAGAGGTTTCTCTGGATTGTTTATCAGAGTGAAGTCCTGGGTCGGGGGATGGGGATCTGCAACACCGAAAAATATTCTAAATTGCTGGAGTTTGTTTTGTTTTCCTGTTTTTACTTTTTACAACTTTTAAATGTTTGCTAATCAGATGAATATAAAATTGTATCTCATTGTTATCTGAATTTGCGTTTCACTGATTATGAGTGAGGTTGACATCTTTTCACATGGCTTATTATCCATTGTTTTATGATGAAATGATCTGCCCATATATTTTTCCACTTTATTAGATACTTGTCCTAAAAGAGCTGTAGGATCTGTACACTAATCTACCGTTACTTAAGTACATTGCAATGTCTTCTCATCTCTATTTTGAATTTTCCCCTTATTTATGAGGTGTGAGTGTGTATGTGTGTTTCTGTGGTTTGACTCTTGTCAAAAAAATGAATCTCAGCAGAGTGATGTCAGCAAGATGGCTGACTAGAAGCCTTTACTGCTCATCTCCTCTACAAAGACAGCCAAAACAATGAACAACTCTATTTTGATGAAAATAACTGAAGGAGCGTGCTGGAGTACTTCAAAGGAGTAGCAGAAACTCCGTAGAGCACATAAATTCAGGCAACGCGGTAGAGAACTGAAGAAAACGCCTGGCCTCCCCACCCTATTACCCAACCAGGATCAGCTCAGAACAAGGAGGAACCTTTCCCTGCAGGGAAAAGGTGAGCAAGAGGGTTCCAGAAGACCTTATCAACACCTTGGACACCTACAGTCCTCACCACTGGGACCCCTGCCGTCTTTGAAGGCACTAAGCCCCTCTGGGAATCTCAGAAGGGAATCCTGTGCTCTCCCCAGAGAAGGAGCCACATTATGGCCCCACCAGCCACATGGCCTATGTGGCTCCCGCACTATACCATCTTGGAACTGACCCACTGCTGAAGTGTGTCCTTCTCCAGAGCAAGTGGCCATGGCACCCTTCCATCCCTGAGGCTAAGCCACTACTGAACCACCCCTGCCAAATGATCTGCCCATCCATGAGCCAAACTGCTGCTACACCCTACCCTATGGGGCCAAGCAGCTGTGGGACTCCTCATATAACCACCACCCACCCCCCAGTCGCTGCTGCACCCTGCCCCTCAGGGCCTGAGCTGAAGCCATGCACTGCCCCCCCAGGGAAACAGTGTCTTAGGAAAGCTGCTCCATTTATGCCTCCCAGTCACTGCCCCATCAGGGCCCAAGCTGAAATGGCACCCTGTGTCCTGAGAAAACAGTACCTTGGTCACCCACAGCAGCCACGCTCCCCTGTGCCTAAGCTTCAGCAGCATACTGCATCCCAAGGAAACAATGTCTTGGCCACTCAGAGCAGCCACATACATTCTGGGCCTGAGCTGAAGCAGCATGCCACCTCCCAGGGAATCAGTTACTTGGCTGAGCTGAGCAGCCATGTATTCAGAAGCTGAGCTGACATGGTACCCCACATTCCATGAAAACAGAGCAGGGGCTGATCTGAGACACCCACACTACAGGCCAAACAGCTCTAGTACCCTGCTTCCCTGGAACTGGACAAGCTTCCTAGAGTCTGAGCTGCTGAGACACCTCCTCCTTAAGGAATAGAGTCACTGCCACCCAGGGCCCAAGCAACAACTGTGCTCCACCATTCCAGACTTTTGCTGCCACTTTCACCTGGCCTCAGAGTCTGAGTTACTGCTGAGTCCTACCATCCCAAAGTCCAGACTCACCTCTAACAATGCATTATCATGTGGGACATGAGTTGCCGCTATGCCCTACTGGCTCTAATTCTTGAGTTGCAGCTGTACCCTGCTCCCCAGGCCCAAATCTCCAGAGCATCTCTTCTTCCCTAGAGCCAGGCCAGTGTTGTGCCCTACCTCCCAAGGTCCTAATCACAACTACAGCCTGACACCCTGGCTCAAACTGCTGGGGGCTGGGGTTCTCGGAATCACAGACTCTGGCAATCTGCATTCAACCCTAACTCAGAGGGGGAGCCTACACCCAAGACCCAGGTGCCACAATAGGCTTGCAAGATCCTTGAGGCTAGGGCCCCAACTACACAGCTACTCTGAGCACCTGAACCCTGGAACCCACTGTTGCTGAAACTGCTTGTAGGCCATGTCAGACCTAACACCAAGAGGAACTCTCTTGGCTAAGTCTGCCCATTGTGGGGAAAACTAGAATAGGAGGACCCCAAAAGGTCTTGCCACCAAAGACCCTAACAATCTGTGCTGCCCCCATCACTGCCACAAATTCCTACAGCCTAGGCCACTGAGGCACCCACAGTCTTCACTGACATTGATTGCAGCTGAAGAAGCTGCACAAAGTCTATACCTCTGCATGTACTGAGAACCAGAGCCACCACAGCCTTCACAACTGGCACACCAAAACCAGCATGCAGATGAAAGTCTTTTTGTATGAAAGCCACTCTGTAAAGTTTGTAAGAGGTGATTATTCCACTAGATTTGCAGACATAAACACAGGAACACAAGAAACATGAGAAAGGAAATATGACATCACCCAAGGAAAACAACTCTCTTGTAGCTGACCCCAAAGAAAAGGAAATTTACAATCTGACTGAAAAGAAATTCAAAATAATTATCTTAAGAAAATTCAGCAAGATACAAGAGGATACAGATAGAAAATTTCACAAAATCAGTAAAATAATTTCTTGTCTGAAAGAGAAATTTAACAAGAGAAAGATGTCATAAAAAAGAACCAAATGAAAATCTTGGAGCTAAAAAACTCAATGAGTCAAATAAAAGACAATATAGAGCTTCAACAGCAGACTAGATCAAGTAGAAGCATCTCTGATCTTGAAGACAGATCTTTTGAAATTGTTCAGTCAGAGGAAAAAAGAAATAGTAAGAATGAAAAAGAGTGAAGACAGACTAAGGGACTAATGGGACATCGTTAACCAAACAAATGTTTGCATTATGGGAGTTCCAGAAGGAAAAGAGGAAAAAGACAGGGGCAGAAAGTTAATTAATTAAATTATTGCTTAAAAACTTCCAAGTCTTGGAAGAGATGTAAGCATCCAGATACATAATGCTCAAAAGTCCCCAAACAGATTTAATCCAAAGAGGTCCTCACTGAGGCACACTATAATTCCACTGTCAAAAATCAAAGACAGAGAATTTTAAAAGGAATAACAGAAAAACATCAAGTCATATATGAGGGAATCTCAATTAGAGTATCAGCAGATTATTCAGCAAAAACTCTGCAGGCCAGGACAGAATGGGATGATATATTCAAAGTATTGAAAGAAAACTGCCAGCGAAGAATATTATATCAAGCAAAGCTGTCTTTTAAAAATGTAAGAGAAATAAAGTATTTCCCAAACAAGCAAAAGTTTAGGGACTTAATCACCGCTAGACTTGCTCTACAGAAAATGCTTAATGGAGTTCTTCAAGTAGAAATTAAAGGGCTATAATTACCAACATGAAAACATATGAAAGTATAAAATTCGCTGGTAAAGGTAAGTACATAGACAAATCCAAAATACCTCAACATGCATATGATGCTCTATAAAACATGTATATCTCTTTTTTCTGATTGAATTGTTTATTTCTTCAATAATTTGAGCATATGTTATCTAACTGAATGAATATATATTATTACTCATGTTAAGCAGACAGACAACTCAGGCTTAAAGAAAATGCATGACTTGCCCATATTTGTTCAGCTAGTGAAGAACAGAGGTAGAATTTGAACTTAGGACTTCTTTTTTCCACATCACTATTCTAAAAGCATTTTCCATACTGTTCCCAGTATCCTGGGAAAAAGAAAGATAGGAAACTAATGTTTCTGAACCCTCTGGTAGTATTTGCCCATATTATCTCACTTGCTGTATTTTTTGTTTTTTGTTTTTTGAGACAGAATCTTGCTCTGTTACCCAGGCTGTAGTGCTGTGGCGTGACCTCGGCTCACTGCAACCTCCACCTCCTGGGTTCAAGCGATTCTCCTGACTCAGCCTCCTGAGTAGCTGGGACTACAGGCATGGACCACCACACTGGGCTAATTTTTGTATTTTTAGTACAGACGGGATTTCACCATGTTGGTCAGGCTGGTCTGAAACTCCTGACCTTGTGATCAGACTGCCTCACCCTCCCAATCACTTGCTATTTTTTTTTCTTCCCATTCTTTTTTTTTTTTTTACTTTAAGTTTTAGGGCACATGTGCACAATGTGCAGGTTTGTTACATATGTATACATGGGCCATGTTGGTGTGCTGCACCCATTAACTCATCATTTAACATTAGGTATATCTCTTAATGCTATCCCTTCCCCCTCCCCCCACCCCACAACAGGCCCCAGTGTATGATATTCCCCTTCCTGTGCCCATGTGTTCTCCTTGTTCAATTCCCACCTATGAATGAGAACATGTGGTGTTTGGTTTTTTTGTCCTTGCGATAGTTTGCTGAGAATGATGGTGTCCAGCTTCATCCATGTCCCTACAAAGGACATGAACTCATCATTTTTTGTGACTGCATAGTATTCCATGGTGTATATGTGCCACATTTTCTTAATCCAGTCTATCATTGTTGGACATTTGGGTTGGTTCCAAGTCTTTGCTATTGTGAATAGTGCCGCACTAAACATACATGTTCATGTGTCTTTATAGCAGCATGTTTTATAATCCTTTGAGTATATACCCAGTAATGGGATGGCTGGGTCAAATGGTATTTCTAGTTCTAGATCCCTGAGGAATCACTACACTGACTTCCACAATGGTTGAACTAGTTTACAGTCCCACCAACAGTGTAAAAGTGTTCCTATTTCTCCACATCCTCTCTAGCATCTGTTTTTTTCCTGACTTTATAATGATTGCCATTCTAACTGGTGTGAGATGGTATCTCATTGTGGTTTTGATTTGCATTTCTCTGATAGCCAGTGATGATGAGCATTTTTTCATGTGTCTTTTGGCTGCATAAATGTCTTCTTTTGAGAAGTGTCTGTTCATATCCTTCGCCCACCTTTTGATAAGGTTGTTTGTTTTTTTCTTGTAAACTTCTTGGAGTTCATTATAGATTCTGGATATTAGCCTTTTGTCAGATGAGTAGATTGCAAAACTTTTCTCCCATTCTGTAGGTTGCCTGTTCAGTCTGATGATAGTTTCTTTTGCTGTGCAGAAGCTCTTTAGTTTAATTAGATCCCATTTGTCAATTTTGGCTTTTGTTGCCATTGCTTTTGGTGTTTTAGACATGAAGTCCTTGCCCATGCCTATGTCCTGAATGGTATTGCCTAGGTTTTCTTCTAGGGTTTTTATGGTTTTAGGTCTAACATTTAAGTCTTTAATCCATCTTGAATTAATTTTTGTATAAGGTGTAAGGAAGGGATCCAGTTTCAGCTTTCTACATATGGCTAGCCAGTTTTCCCAGCACCATTTATTAAATAGGGAATCCTTTCCCCATTGCTTGTTTTCATCAGGTTTGTCAAAGATCAGATAGTTGTAGATATGTGGCATTATTTCTGAGGGCTCTGTTCTGTTCCGTTTGTCTATATCTCTGTTTTGGTACCAGTACCATGCTGTTTTGGTTACTGTAATCTTGTAGTATAGTTTGAAGTCAGGTAGCATGATGCCTCCAGCTTTGTTCTTTTGGCTTAGGATTGACTTGGCAATGCAGGCTCTTTTTTGGTTCCATATGAACTTTAAAGTAGTTTTTTCCAATTCTGTGAAGAAAGTCATTGGTAGCTTGATGGGGATGGCATTGAATCTATAAATTACCTTGGGCAGTATGGCCATTTTCATGATATTGATTCTTCCTACCCATGAGCATGGAATTTTCTTCCATTTGTTTGTATCCTCTTTTATTTCATTGAGCAGTGGTTTGTAGTTCTCCTTGAAGAGGTCCTTCAGGTCCCTTGTAAGTTGGATTCCTAGGTATTTTATTATCTTTGAAGCAATTGTGAATGGGAATTCACTCATGATTTGGCTCTCTGTCTGTTATTGGTGTGTAAGAATGCTTGTGATTTTTGCACATTGGTTTTGTATCCTGAGACTTTGCTGAAGTTGCCTATCAGCTTAAGGAGATTTTGGGCTAAGACGATGGATTTTTCTAGATATACAATCATGTCATCTGCAAAAAGGGACAATTTGGCTTCCTCTTTTCCTAATTGAATACACGTTATTTTCTTCTCCTGCCTGATTGCCCTGGCCAGAACTTCCAACACTATGTTGAATAGGAGTGGTGAGAGATGGCATCCCTGTCTAGTGCCAGTTTTCAAAGGGAATGCTTCCAGTTTTTGCCCAGTAAGTATGATATTGGCTGTGGGTTTGTCATAGATAGCTCTTATTATTTTGAGATACGTCCCATCAATAACTAATTTATTGAGAGTTTTTAGCATGAAGGTTGTTGAATTTTGTCAAAGGCCTTTTCTGCATCTATTGAGATAATCATGTGGTTTTTGTCTTTGGTTCTGTTTATATGCTGGATTACGTTTATTGATTTGTGTTTGTTGAACCAGCCTTGCATCCCAGGGATGAAGCCCACTTGATCATGGTGGGTAAGCTTTTTGATGTGCTGCTGGATTCAGTCTGCCAGTATTTTATTGAGGATTTTTGCATCGATGTTCATCAGGGATGTTGGTCTAAAATTCTCTTTTTTTGTTGTGTCTCTGCCAGGCTTTGGTATCAGGATGATGCTGGCCTCATAAAATGAGTTAGGGAGGATTCCCTCTTTTTCTATTGATTGGAATAGTTTCAGAAGGAATGGTATCAGCTCCTCCTTGTACCTCTGGTAGAATTCGGCTGTGAATCCATCTGGTCCTGGACTTTTTTTGTTGGTAAGCTATTAATTATTGCCTCAATTTCAGAGCCTGTTATTGGTTTATTCAGAGATTCAACTTCTCCTGGTTTAGTCTTGGGAGGGTGTATGTGTCCAGGAATTTATCCATTTCTTCTAGATTTTCTAGTTTATTTGCATAGAGGTGTTTATAGTATTCTCTGATGGTAGTTTGTATTTCTGTGGGATTGGTGGTGATATCCCCTTTATCATTTTTTATTGCATCTCTTTGATTCTTCTTTTTTTTCTTCTTTATTAGTCTTGCTAGTGGTCTATCAGTTTTGTTGATCTTTTCAAAAAACCAGCTCCTGGATTCATGGATTTTTTGAAGGGTTTTTTGTGTCTCTATTTCCTTCAGTTCTGCTCTGATCTTAGTTATTTCTTGCCTTCTGCTAGCTTTTGAATGTGTTTGCTCTTGCTTCTCTAGTTCTTTTAATTGTGATGTTAGGGTGTCAATTTTAGATCTTTCCTGCTTTCTCTTGTGGGCATTTAGTGCTATAAATTTCCCTCTACACACTGCTTTGAATGTGTCCCAGAGATTCTGGTATGTTGTGTCTTTGTTCTCGTTGGCTTCAAAGAACATATTTATTTCTGCCTTCATTTCTTTATGTACCCAGTAGTCATTCAGGAGCAAGTTGTTCAGTTTCCATGTAGTTGATCGGTTTTGAGTGAGTTTCTTAATCCTGAGTTCTAGTTTGATTGCACTATGGTCTGAGAGACAGTTTGTTATCATTTCTGTCTTTTACATTTGCTGAGGAGTGCTTTACTTCCAACTATGTGGTCAATTTTGGAATAGATGTGGTGCTGAAAAGAAGGTATATTCTGTTGATTTGGGGTGGAGAGTTCTGTAGATGTCTCTTAGATCTGCTTGGTGCAGAGCTGAGTTCAATTCCTGGATATCCTTGTTAACTTTCTGTCTTGTTGATCTGTCTAATGTTGACAGTGGGGTGTTAAAGTCTCCCATTATTATTGTGTGGGAGTCTAAGTCTCTTTGTAGGTCTCTAAGGACTTGCATTATGAATCTGGGGGCTCCTGTATTGGGTGCATATATATTTAGGATAGTTAGCTCTTCTTGTTGAATTGATCCCTTTACCATTATGTAATGGCCTTCTTTGTCTCTTTTGATCTTTGTTGGTTTAAAGTCTGTTTTATCTGAGACTAGGATTGCAACCCCTGCCTTTTTTTGTTTTCCATTTGCTTGGTAGATCTTCCTCCATCCCTTTATTTTAAGCCTATGTGTGTCTCCGCACGTGAGATGGGTTTCCTGAATACAGCACACTGATGGGTCTTGACTCTTTATCCAATTTGCCAGTCTGTGTCTTTTAATTGGAACATTTAGCCCATTTGCATTTAAGGTTAATATTGTTATGTGTGAATTTGATCCTGTCATTATGATGTTAGCTGGTTATTTTGCTCATTAGTTGATGCAGTTTCTTCCTAGCCTCTATGGTCTTTACAATTTGGCATGTTTTTGCAGTGGCTGGTACCGGTTTTTCCTTTCCATGTTTAGTGCTTCTTTCAGGAGCTCTTTTAGGGCAGGCCTGGTGGTGACAAAATCTCAGCATTTGCTTGTCTGTAAAGGATTTTATTTCTCCTTCACTTATGAAGCTTAGTTTGGCTGGAAAGGAAATTCTGGGTTGAAAATTCTTTTCTTTAAGAATGTTGAATATTGGCCCCCACTCTCGTCTTGCTTGTAGAATTTCTGCTGAGAGATCAGCTGTTAGTCTGATGGGCTTCCCTTTGTGGGTAACCTGACCTTTCTCTCTGGCTGCTGTTAATATTTTTTTCCTTCATTTCAACTTTGGTGAATCTGACAATTATGTGTCTTGGGATTGCTCTTCTCGAGGAGTATCTTTGTGGTGTTCTCTGTATTTCCTGAATTTGAATGTTGGCCTGCCTTTCTAGATTGGGGAAGTTCTCCTGGATAATATCCTGCAGAGTGTTTTCCAAGTTGGTTCCATTCTCCCTGTCACTTTCAGGTACACCAATCAGATGTAGATTTGGTCTTTTCACATAGTCTCATATTTCTTGGAGGCTTTGTTCATTTCTTTTTATTCTTTTTTCTCTAAACTTCTCTTCTCACTTCATTTCATTCATTTGATCTTCCATCACTGATACCCTTTCTTCCAGTTGATCGAATCAGCTACTGAGGCTTGTGCATTCATCACATATTTCTCATGCCATGGTTTTCAGCTCCATCAGGTCCTTAAAGGACTTCTCTGCATTGGTTAGTCTAGTTAGCCATTCGTCTAATCTTTTTTCAAGGTTTTTAACTTCTTTGCGATGGGTTTGAACTTCCTCCTTTAGCTCAGAGTAGTTTGATCATCTGAAGCCTTCTTCTCTCAACTCATCAAAGTCATTCTCCGTCCAGCTTTGTTCTGTTGCTGGTGAGGAGCTGCGTTCCTTTGGAGGAGGAGAGGTGCTCTGATTTTTAGAGTTTCCAGTTTTTCTGCTTTGTTTTTTCCCCATCTTTGTGGTTTTATCTACCTTTGGTCTTTGATGATGGTGAAGTACAGATGGGGTTTTGGTGTGGATGTCCTTTCTGTTTGTTAGTTTTCCTTCTAACAGACAAGACCCTCAGCTGCAGGTCTGTTGGAGTTTGCTGGAGGTCCACTCCAGACGCTGTTTGCCTGGGTATCAGCAGCGGAGGCTGCAGAACAGCAGATATTGGTGAACAGCAAATGTTGCTGCCTGATTGTTCCTCTGGAAGTTTTGTCTCAGAGGAGTACCTGGCCGTGTGAGGTGTCAGTCTGCCCCTACTGGGGGGGTGTCTCCCAGTTAGGCTACTAGGTGGTCAGGGACCCACTTGAGGAGGCAGTCTGTCCATTCTCAGATCTCCAGCTGCGTGCTGGGAGAACCACTGCTCTCTTCAAAGCTGTCAGACAGGGACATTTAAGTCTGCAGAGGTTTCTGCTGCCTTTTGTTTGGCTGTGCCCTGCCCGCAGAGGTGGAGTCTACAGAGGCAGGCAGGCCACCTTGAGCTGTGGTGGGCTTCATCCAGTTCAAGCTTCCTGGCCGCTTTGTTTACCTACTCAAGCCTCGGCAATGGCGGGTGCCCCTCCCCCAGCCTTGCTGCTGCCTTGCAGTTTGATCTCAGACTGCTGTGCTAGCCATGAGTGAGGCTCTGTGGCCGTAGGACCCTCCAAGCCAGGTGCAGATATAATTTCCTTGTGTGCCGTTTGCTAAGACCATTGGAAAATCGCAGTATTAGGGTGGGAATGGCCCAATTTTCCAGGTGCTGTCTGTCACCCCTTTCTTTGGAAAGGGAATTCCCTGACCCCTTGAGCTTCCTGGGTGAGGCGATGCCTCATCCTGCTTCTGCTCACATTTGGTGCACGGCACCCACTGTCCTGCACCCACTGTCTGTCAGTCCCCAGTGAGATGAACCTGGTACCTCAGTTGGAGATGCAGAAATCACCCGTCTTCTGCATCACTCATGCTGGGAGCTGTAGACTGGAGCTGTTCCTATTCAGCCATCTTGGCTCCACCCCCCTAAAACATGTATATCTCTAGTATAAAGGCTAAAAGTCAAAATGGTAAATAATAGTGATTGATATAAGTTGTTAAAAATATATATATTACAAAAAGATATAAATTGCACATCTAAAATATAAGTTAGGGGGTAATAGTCTAGAGTTTTGTATGCAACTGAAGGTAAGTTATTACCAAGAAAAAATAGTCTATTGTAACTATAAGATGTTTCATGGTAACCACAAAGCAAGAAACTGTAACAGATATAGATATGATAAAGGGAAGGGAATCAAAACTTAGCAATAAAAAATAAAACAAAACACAAAGATAAACAAGAGAGAAAGAAGGATCTACAAAACCAGAAATAAAAACAACAACAACAAAATGGCAGTAGCAAATCTTTACCTATCAAGAATTACTTTTAATGTAAAGGATTAAATTTTTCAGTAAAGACATAGAGTGGCTGGATGTATTTTTTTAACTCAACTATATGCTGCCTTACCAGAGACCTACTTTAGCCTTACAAATACACAAAGGCTGAAAGTAAAGGGATGGAAAAAGATATTCTATGCAATTAATAACCAAAAGAGAGCAGAGGTGACTATACTTATATCAGATAAAATGTGCTTTTCTGTTATATTCATTGATTCATGGGCCTATCCCTTTGCCAATACTTGCCAATCAATCAACATGATTGATTACTGTTGCCTGATAGTGAGTCTTAAAATCAGTTAGTGAGTCCTCCCATTTTCTTCTTTTTCAGAATTGTTTTAACTACCCTAGTTCCTTTGCTTTTTCATACAAATTTTAGTCAGCTTGTAAATGTCTATTTAAAACCCTTTCTGGAATTTTTATGAGAATTGCATCAAATTTATAGATCAATTTGGGGAGAATTGACATTTTTACTATGTTGAGTCTTCCCATCCATGAACACAGGGTGTCCCTCCACTTATTTAAGTCTTCTTTGATTTCTTCCATGTACATATCTGTGGTTTCATCACACAGATCTTGGACACATTTCGTTTAGATTTATACCTAAACATGTCTTTTTCTGAGCTATTAGCTATTGTTAATAGAGCTGTTCCTCAAGTTTCTGTTTCCAGTCCTACCTTGTGAATATATAGAAATATGATTGTTTTTTGTGTGTTGATGTTGAATCCTGTAGCATTACTCAACTTATTTACCAGTTTTTCATAGATTCCTTTGGATTTTTACATAGAAAATCATGTTATCTGTGAATAGGGACAGTTTCATTTCTTTCTTTGCAATCTATACAACTTTTATTTTTTTTGTTCTTGCATTATTGCACTGGATAGGATTTTTTTGCACGATTTTAAATAAAAGTGGTGAGAGTAGATATCCTTGCATTTTTCTTGATTTTAATGGTAAAGCATTCAGTCTTTCACCATTACATATGATGTTAGCTTTAGGGGTTTTTTGTAGATGCCTTTATCAGATTGAGAAAGTTTCATTCTATTAGTGTGCTGAGATTTTTATCATAAATAGATTTCTAATTTTGTCGTGCTTTACTTCATCAATTTACGTGATCATGTGGTTTTCCTTCTTTGGACTCTTGATATACAGAATTACATTAAGTAATTTTTGAATGTTGAGACACCCTTGAATTCCTGGCATGAACCCACTTTAGTTGTAGTGTGTTCTTATTTTTATATATTTATGAATTTAATTTACTAATAATTTGTTGAGAATTGTCTATGCTTATGAAATATATTGGTCTGCATTTTAATTTTCTTGAGCTATCTAGTTTTGGTATCAGTGTAATACTGGCATTATGTAATAAGTTGGAAGAGTTCCTCCTCTTCTATTATTGGAAAGTGATCATGAAACTTAAAGCTTTTTGTTAGGTGTATGCACATTTGAGATTTTAATCTTATTGATGAATTAACTCTCCTATGATTATATAACATCCTTAATTATCCCAGGCAATTTTCTTTGCTCTAAAGTTCATTTTAGGAAGAGAGGAAGTCAAACTATCCCTGTTTGGAGATGACATGATCCTATATCTAGAAAAGTCTATCATCTCAGCCTAAAAGTTTTTTAAGCTGATAACAACTTCAGCAAAGTCTCAGGATACAAAATCAGTCTGCAAAAATTGCTAGCATTCCTATACACCAACAACAGTCAAGCTGGGAGCCAAATAATGAATGATCTCCCATTCACAATTGCCACAAAAAGAAGAAAATACCTAGGAATACAGCTAACTGGGGAGGTGAAAAATCTCTACAAGGAGAACTATAAATGACTGCTCAAAGAAATAAGAGATGACACAAACAAATGGAATAACCTTTCATGCTCATGAATAGGAACAATCAATATCATTAAAATGGCCATACTGCCCAAGTTGATTTATAGATTCAATGCTATTCCCATTAAACTAACATTGACATTCTTCACAGAACTAAATAAAGCTATTTTAAAATTCATATGGAACCAAAAAAGAGCCCAAATAGCCAAGGAAACCCTAAGCAAAAGAACAAAACTGAAGGCATCACACTACTCGACTTCAAACTATACTACAGTGTTACAGTGACTACAACAGGATGGTGCTGGTACAAGAACAGACACGTAGACCAATGGAATGGAATAGAGAACCCAGAAATAAGACCGCATACCTACAACTCTCTGATCTTCAACAAACCTTACAAAAACAAGCAATGGGGAAAGCATTCCCTATTCAATAAATGGTGCTGGGATACTGGCTAGCCATATGCAGAAGACTGAAATTGGACCCCTTCCTTACACCATATACAAAAGTTAACTCAATATGAATTAAAGACTTAAATGTAAAACCTAAAACTATAAAAACCCTGGAAGACAACCTAGGCAATACCATTCAGAACATAGGAATTGGCAAAGATTTCTTGACAAAGACACAAAAAGCAACTGCAACAAAAGCAAAAATTAACAAAGGGGATCTAATTAAATTAAAGAGGTTCTGCACAGCAAAAGAAACTATCAACGTAGTAAACAGACAACCTACAGAATGGGAGAAAGTCTTTGCAAGCTATGCATTTGACAAAGATCTAATATCCAGCATCTATTAATATATGGAACTTAAATAAATTTCAAGAAAAAACAACCCCTTTGAAAAGTGGGCAAAAGACTTGAACAGACACTCCTTAAAAGAAAACACATGTGGCCAATATGCATATGAAAAAAAAAAAGCTCAACATCACTGATCATTAAAGAAATGCAAATCAAAACCATGATGAAATACCACCTCACACCAGTCAGAATGGCTATTATAAAAAGGCAAAAAATAACAGATGCTGGTGTGGCTGGGTAGAAAAAGGAATGCTTTTACACTGTTGGTAGGAGTGTAAGTTAGTTCAACCATTGTGGAAGACAGTGTGGCAATTCCTCAAAGAACTGAATACAGCAATACCATTCAACCCAGCAATCCCATTACTGCGTATATATACCCAAAGGAATAGAAATTGTTGTATTATACAGACACATGCACGTGTACATTCATTGCAGCACTATTCACAATAGCAAAGACATGGAATCAACCTAAATGCTCATCAACAATAGACTGGATAAAGAAAAGGTGGTACATGTATACCATGGAATACCATGCAGCCATAAAAAAGATGAGATCATGTCCTTTTCAGGGGCATGGATGGAGCTGGAGGCCATTATCTTTAGCAAACTAATGCAGGAACAGAAAACTGAATACTGCATGTTGTCACTTACAAGGGATGGGAACTAAATGATGAGAACACATGAACACATAGATGGGAACAACACACACTGGGGCCTATCTGAAGGTGGATGGTGGGAGGAGGGAGAAGATCAGGAAAAATAACTAATGGGTACTAGACTTAATACCTGAGTGATTAAATAATCTATACAACAAACCCCCATGACACGAGTTTACCCATGTAACAAACCTGCACATGTAACCATGAACTTAAAAGTTTTTGAAAAAGAAAAATAAATAAAGTTCATTTTGTCTGATATTATAGTAGCCACTCCACCTTTTCTTTTATTAGTGTTTACATGGTATATAATTTTTCATCTTTTTTATTTTTAATTTTATGGGTACATAGTAGGTATATATATTTATGGGGTCCATGAGATGTCTTGATACAGGCGTGCAATGCGTAATAATCACATCATGGAGAATGGGATATCCATCCCTTCAAGCATTAATCTTTTGTGTTACAAACAATCCAATTACATTCTTTTATCTATTTTTAAATGTGCAATTAAGTTATTATTGACTGTAGTCACCTATTGTGCTATCAAATAGTAGGTCTTATTCACCCTTTCTATTTTTTATACCTATTAACCTTGCCCACCTCCCCTCAGCTGCCCACGACCCTTCCCACCCTCTGGTAATGATCCAATTACTCCCTACCTCCATGAGTCCGATTGTTTTGATTTTTTAGATCCCACAAGTAAGCAAGAACATGTAATATTTGTCTTTCTGTGCCTGGCTTATTTCACTTAACATAATCATCTCTAGTTCTATCCATGTTGTTGCAAATGACTGAATTTCATTCTTTTTTATGGCTGAATAGTACCCCATTGTGTATATGTACCACATTTTCTTTAACCATTAACCTGTTGATGGACACTTAGGTTGCTTCCACATCTTAGCTATTGTGAACAGTGCTGCAATAAACATAGGAGTGCAGATATCTCTTTGATATACTGATTTCCTTTCTTTGGGGGTATATATTCGATAGTGGGATTGCTGGATCATATGGTAGCTCTATTTTTAGCTTTTTGAGGAACCTCCAAACTGTTTTCAATAGTAGTTATACTAATTTACATTCCTAACGACAGTGTGTAAGACTTCTCTTTTCTCCACATTATTGCCAGCATTTGTTATTGCCTGTCTTTTGGATATAAGCCATTTTAACTGGGGTGAGATGGTATCTTACTGTAGCTTTGATTTGCATTTCTCTGATGATCAATGATTTTGAGCACCTTTTTGTATGCCTGTTGGCTATTTGTGTGTCTTTTTTTTTTTGAAATGGAGTCTTGCTCTGTCCCCTGGGGCTAGAGTGCAGTGGTGCAATCTCGGCCTACCACAACTTCCGTCTCCCAGATTCAAGCGATTCTCCTGCCTCAGCCTCCCAAGTAGCTGGGATTACAGGCATGTGCCACCATGCCTGGCTAATTTTTGTATTTTCTGTAGAGACGAGGTTTCACCGTGTTGGCCAGGCTGGTCTCTGACTCCTGACCTCAGGTGATCCACCCACCTCGGCCTCCCAAAGTGCTGGGATTACAGGCATGAGCCACTGCCCCCAGCCTGTGTTTCTTCTTTTGAGAAATGTCTATTCAAATCTTTTGCCCACTTTTTGACTGGATTATTCGATTTTTTTCCTATAGAGTTGTTTGAGCTCCTTATATATTGTGGTTATTAATCCCTTGTCAGATGGGTAGCTTGCAAATATTTTCTCCCAGTCTGTGGGTTGTCCCTTTATTGGTGGTTTATTTTGCTGTGCAGAAGTGTTTTAACTTGATGTGGTCTCTTTTTGTCCTTTTCTGCCTTGATTGCCTGTGCTTGTGAGGTATTGCTCAAGAAATTTTTGCCCAGACTAATGTCCTGTAGAGTTTCCCCAGTGTTTTCTTGTGCTAGTCTCATAGTTTGAGGTTTTAGATTTAAGTCTTTAATCCATTTTGATTTGATTTTTGTATATGGTGAGAGATAGGGATTTAACTTCATTTTTCTGCATATGGATATCCAGTTTTCCAAGCGTCATTTATTGAAGAGACCACCTTTTCTCCCATGCATGTCCTTGGCACATATGTCAAAAATGAATTCCCTGTAGGCATGTGAATTTGTTTCTCTAGTCTGTTCCATTGGTCTATGTGTCTGTTTTTATACCAGTATCATGCTGTTTTGATTACTATAGCTCTATAGTATAATTTGAAGTCACGTAATGTGATTCCTGCAGTTTTGTTCTTTTTGCTCAGAATAGCTTTAGCTTCAGCTATTCTGGGTTTTTTGTTGTTCCGTGTAAAATTTAGTATTTTTTTTCTATTTCTTTCAAAATGCCATTGGTATTTTGATAGAGATTGCATTGAATCTGTCAGTTGCTTTAGGGAATATGGACAATTTAACAATATTAATCTTCTAATCCATGAACATGAAATATTTTTCCTTTTTTGGTGTCCTTTTCAATTTCCTTTATCAGTGTTTTAAAGTTTTCACTATATACATCTTTAACTTATTTGGTTAATTCCTAGGTATTTAGTTTTATCTGTGGCTATTGCAGATGAGATTACATTTTTAAATTTTTTTCTGATTGTTCAATGTTGGTATATAGAAATGCTACTGTTTTTTGTTTCTTTATTTTGTAATTTTTTAATTTTACCCTGACTATATATATGAAATGAGCCTATTTAAATACAGTTGGATAATGTTTTTTAAATTGGCCTAACTATATCTTTTACTTCATGTGTTTAGACTATCTACACTTAATATAATTATTCACATTTGGATTTGTAGCTACTATATTATTATTTGTTTTCATTGATCCATTTGTTTTTCTCCCTCTGTTTCCCCTCTCCTGCTTTCCTTTGGGTTATTTGAACAATTTTAATATTCCACTTAATTTATCTATTGTGATTTTAACTATATTAATTTGCATAGTTTTTTGTGGTTGTTCTAGGGATTACAGTATACATACTTAACTTTTCACAGTCTGCTTAGAATCAATATTTTAGGCCAGGCACAGTGGTGCATGCCTGTAATCCCAGCACTTTAGGAAGCCGAGGTGGGTGGATCAATTGATATCAGGAATTTGACTGTCCTGGGCAACAAGGTGAAACCCCATTTCTACAAAAAAAAAAATAGCCGGGCATGGTGGCACACACCCGTAGTCCCAGCTACTTGGGAGGCCAAAGTGGGAGGACTGCTTGAGCCTAGGAGGTTGAGGCTTCAGTGAGCCTAGATCACACCACTGCACTCCCACCAGGGCAACAGAGCAAGACCCTTCTCAAAGGAAAAAAAAAGCATCAATATTTTACCATTTCAAGTGGAATGTAGAAGCCTTACCATCATAGAGGTTCTTTTACTATTTTCTCTTTATGTCATAGTTGTCTTACATGTTACTTCTATATACAGTTAATCTTTATTATTTGCAGATTTTGCATTTGTGAATTTGCCTACTAACTAGAATTATTTATAACGCCAAAATCAATATTCACAGTGCTTTTTTGCAAGTCATTCACAGGACATGGGTAGAGTAGAAAAATATTTGAGTCATACAAAGTGCACATTCCTAGCTAATGGTAAACAAGGTGATGTTTTTTCTTCCTGTTTCAGGTTTCATAAAGAAATGACCAGAGATTTGAGATGACAGGCAACAGTGATATGTAGTAGAAGAAGCTCCAGATCTGGGGCCAGTCGAATGAGATTTAAACTCCAGATTTGAAAGTCCGTCAGTGTGGCAACCTCAGGCAAGTCACTTAACACTCTTGAACCTTTTTCTCTTTTGTAAAATAAAGAAAATTAAATCTATTAAAATGTATTATTGTTAGGATTTAAGATTACAATCTATGCGATATATATATTACTAGATAAATACGTGTGTGTGTGTATGTGTATAAAATCTAGGAGCAGTGGTTCAATATTCACTAATTCAGTGTTCACAGTGACTTAATAGAACATGATAACCATGAATAATGAGAATCAACTTTACATTGAAAACCTCATCAAACAATGTTATAATTTTTGTTTTCAATTGTAAAATATATTTTAGAGAGCTCAAGAGGAGAAGATGCACTATTATATTTACCAAGATATTTAGTATTTCCATCGCTCTTCCTGCATTTTTGAAGTTCCAAGTTTTCTTTTTTTTTTTTTTAAGACAAGCCTGGGCAACATAGCCTATTTTATTTTATTTTTTTTCTTTTTTTTTTAATTGATCATTCTTGGGTGTTTCTCGCAGAGGGGGATTTGGCAGGGTCACAGGACAATAGTGGAGGGAAGGTCAGCAGATAAACAAGTGAACAAAGGTCTCTGGTTTTCCTAGGCAGAGGACCCTGCGGCCTTCCGCAGTGTTTGTGTCCCTGGGTACTTGAGATTAGGGAGTGGTGATGACTCTTAAGGAGCATGCTGCCTTCAAGCATCTGTTTAACAAAGCACATCTTGCACCGCCCTTAATCCATTTAACCCTGAGTTGACACAGCACATGTTTCAGAGAGCACAGGGTTGGGGGTAAGGTCACAGATCAACAGGATCCCAAGGCAGAAGAATTTTTCTTAGCACAGAACAAAATGAAAAGTCTCCCATGTCTACCTCTTTCTACACAGACACAGCAACCATCCGATTTCTCAATCTTTCCCCCACCTTTCCCCCCTTTCTATTCCACAAAACCGCCATTGTCATCATGGCCCTTTCTCAATGAGCTGTTGGGTACACCTCCCAGACGGGGTGGTGGCCGGGCAGAGGGGCTCCTCACTTCCCAGTAGGGGCGGCCGGGCAGAGGCGCCCCTCACCTCCCAGACGGGGCGGCTGGCCGGGCGGGGGGCTGACCCCCCACCTCCCTCCCGGACGGGGGGCTGACCCCCCCACCTCCCTCCTGGACGAGGTGGCTGCAGGGCAGAGACGCTCCTCACTTCCCAGACGGGGTGGCGGCCGGGCAGAGGCTGCAATCTCGGCACTTTGGGGGGCCAAGGCAGGCGGCTGGGAGGTGGAGGTTGTAGCGAGCCGAGATCACGTCACTGCACTCCAGCCTGGGCACCATTGAGCACTGAGTGAACCAGACTCCATCTGCAATCCCGGCACCTCGGGAGGCCGAGGCTGGCGGATCACTCGCGGCTAGGAGCTGGAGACCAGCCCGGCCAACACAGCAAAACCCCGTCTCCACCAAAAAAATACGAGAACCAGTCAGGCGTGGCGGCGCGCACCTGCAATCGCAGGCACTCGGCAGGCTGAGGCAGGAGAATCAGGCAGCAGTACCGTCCAGCTTCAGCTCGGCATCAGAGGGAGACCGTGGAGAGAGGGAGACGGAGAGGGAGAGGGAGAGGGAGAGGGAGAGGCTGAAGTTCCAAGTTTTCTAGCATTATTTCCCTTCTGTCTGGAGAACTTATTTTAGCAATTCTTCTACAGTAGGTCTGCTACATGTAAACACTCTAAGTTTTCCTCCAACTGAGAATGTCTTCATTTTGCCCTTATTACTGAAGAATATTTTCACTGGATATAGTATTCTGGGTTAGCAGTTATTTTCTTTCAGTACTTTACAAATGTTGTTCCACTGTCTTCTAGTCTCTATAATTTCTGATGAGAAATTCACAGTCATTTAAATCATTGTTTCCTTATAGGTAAGGCCCCATTTTTTTTCTCTTGGTGCTTTCAAATTTTTTCTGTCTGTAGTTTTCAAAATTTTGATTATGATGTGCTCAGGGTATGAGCTTTCAGGGGTTTATCATGTTTGGAGATCACAGAGCTTCTTGAATGTGTGGGTTTATATTTTTTGCCAAACTTGGGAAATTTTCAGGCCTTATGTCCTCACGTATTTTTTCAGCATTATACTCTTTCTCTTCTCCTTCTAGGTATCTGACAACATAAACAGTGGATCTCTTATTATTATTCTACATATCCTTCTGGCTTGATTTATTTTATTTTATTTTATATTTTTTGAGGTGGAATCTCGCTCTATTGCCCAGGCTGGAGTGCAGTGGCACTATCTCGGCTCACTGCAAGCTCTGCCTCCTGGGTTCATGCCATTCTCCCGCCTCAGCCTCCTAAGTAACTGGGACTACAGGCACCCACCACCATGCCTGGCTAATTTTTTGTATTTTAGTAGAGACGGGGTTTCACCATGTTAGCCAGGATGGTTTCGATCTCCTGACCTCATGATCTGCCCTCCTTGGCCTCCCAAAGTGCTGGGATTACAGGCATGAGCCACCGTGCCCAGCCAGCTTTGTTTTTAAAATCTATTTCTTCTCTCTTGTTCAGATTAGATAACTTTTATTGATCTATTTTCAAGTCACCTGATTTTTTCCTCCATCATATCCATGCTGCCATTGCGTCCAACTGTGAGGACTTTTTTGTTAATTTGTTATATTTTTCACTTCTAAAATTTCCGTTTGGCTCATGACATCTTGTTTCTTTTTTTTTTTTTTGACTTCTATATTTTACATTCATTTCAAAATTGGTCATGATCGCTTATTGAATATTTTTATAGTAGCTGCTTTAAATTCTTTGTCACATAATTCAAAATCTTGGCATTGGCACCCATTGATTGTCTTTCCCCATGTGGATTGAGATGTTCCTGGTTCCTTGCGTCTGAAGTAATTTTGGATAATTTCTTGAATATTTTGAATATTATGTTATGAGATCATGGGTCTTACAGAGAATATTAATATTTTTGCCTTGGCAAGTGTGAAAGGAAAATATCTTGGGCCCCCAAAATCACGGAGCTAAAGGAAAAATTCAAGCTAGGAGCTTCTCAGGGCAAATCTCCCTCCCATTCTTTCAAAGTCATTGCTCTGCTCACTGAGATCGATGCATCTTCTGATTGCCTCCTTTGGAGAGGCTCATCAGAAACTCAAAAGACTGCAACCATTTGTCTCTCACCTACCTGTGACCTGGAAGCTCCCTCCCTGCTTCGAGTTGCCCCCGCCTTTCTAGATAGAACCAATGTACTTCTTACCTATATTGATTGATATCTCATGTCTCCCTAAATGTTTCAAACCAAGCTGTGCCCTGACCACCTTGGGCACATGTCATCAGGACTTCCTGAGGCTGTGTCATGGGCATGCATCCTCCATCTTGACAAAATAAACTTTCTAAATTAACTGAGATCGTCTCAGATTTGGGGGGTTCGCACAAGCAATTGACCTAGTTCATTTCAAGCCACAAATTCCAGCTTACCTTCTGTGGCTTGTGGTTCCAATGTCAGTTTTCAAGACCTTTGTATAACTATTCTGATCTTTTTCATATGTGTACCATCCAGTGGTTAGTCTGGGACCTGAGCATGCTTTCTGTTTGTTGAGCAACAAAAGTCTTTTATATACTGATTAGGTTCAGATCCATGTATGTGTAGCTCAAGGTGAGCCCAGGAGTTCATGAATAGTTTATGGGATAAGTTACCATATCTTCCCTCTCTTTGTCACTCTCTCTCTCTCTCTCTCTCCCCCCGCACCCCCCATCCCCCCAGTACTATCTAGCTTCCTGAGGCTCTTCTTTTTAAGTCCTCTAGCCAGAAATGTTGTACTTTGGCTTTCATACTATGTTAGTTCGTCCATTTTGCATCATTATAAAGGAATACCTGAGACTGGGTAATTTATTTTTTTTTAAAAAAGGGTTTATTTGGCTCATGGTTCTGCAGGCTGAACAGGCAGGGCACCAGCATCTGCTCACCTTCCGGTGAGGCCTCCAGAAGCTTTTGCTCATAGCGGAAGGTGAAGTGGGAGCCAGCATGTCACATGATGAGAGAGGGAGCAAAAGAGAGAGGCAGGAGGTGCCAGGCTGTTTAAACAACCAGCTGTCCCGTGAACTCATTGCTGCAGGAAGGGCAGCAAGACATTCATGAAGGGTCCACCCGCATGACACAAACACCTCCATTAGGCCCCACCTTCAATACTGGGGAATCACATTTCAACATGATATTGGAAAAGGACATGCATCCAAACCATATCAGGTATTCTACCATGCACTTTTGTAACTGTACCTACATCTGGGACCAAAAGGCAGGAAGACAGAAAAAAAATTAATAAAGCTTTGTGGGTATTGACTTTTGTGACTGCCATTGTGGGCTTCCATTGAACTTCTGCTTTCAACAAACACTTGCTGGGAGCCTAGTACATGAGAGAATATTGTGCATATTTATGGGGGAGAATGTGATGTTTCAATGCATATATACATTATGTAATGATCAAATCAGGGTATTTAACATATCTATCACCTCAAACATTTATCATTTCTTTGTGAAATTCTCTGTTCTAGTCATAATAAAATATGCAATACAATACTGTTAACTATAGTCACCCTACTGTGTAATAGAAGACCAGAACTTATTCCTCCTATGTATTCATAATTGTGTAGCTGTTGACCAATCTCTTCACAATCTCCTCTCCACCCTACTTTCCCCAGCATCTAGTAACCATTATTCTACTCTAAACTTTTATGAGATCAGCTTTTTTATATTCCACAAATCAGTGAGATCCAGCAGTATTTGTTTCTGTACCTGGCTTATGTCATTTAACATAACGTTCTTCAAGTTTATCCATGTTGTCACAAATGGCGGGATTTCATTTTTATGGCTCAATAGTTTTCCATTGTGTGTATATGCCACATTTTAAAAATTCATTGATTCATTGATAGACACAGGTCGATTCCATATCTCAGCTATTGGGAATAGTGATGCAATTAACACGGGAGTGAAGGTATCTCTTTGACATATTGATTTCATTTTCTCTAGATGATTACCCAGTAGTAGGATTGCTGGACCACATGGTTGTTCTGTTTAATTTTTTGAGGAACCTTTATATTGTTATTCATAAGGGCTGTACTAATTTACTTTCTTGCCAACAGTGCATAAGAATTCCCATTTCGCCACACTCATGCCAATGTTTGTTATTTTTTAATCTTTTTGATAATAGCCATTCTAACACGAATGAGGTAATATCTCATTGTAGTTGTGATTTGCAATTTCTTAATGATTAGTAACGTTAAGTATAGCGTTCAGCAAATCCTGTTTGCAAAAAGTAGCAGCACTGCATCTCCATACTCATCTTCTTGGAGCATTTGCTGCTGCTTTTCCCATCCTTCCTGATTTTTTTCATGGTTATTGCTATCTACCACCAAAAAAACAAAAAAAAAGACCTGGTCTGGAAGTAATGCCTGCAGAAGAGCCTAATTTTATCTTGACCACCAGCATCTGGCACGGTGAAACTAACAGTCTGTGTCCACGTTAAAAACAACAGTAGGCGTGATGGCGACTATGTCTCCCTGACTTCTGTTTCTACAGCAGCATCCAATCCAACCATCCAAAGGCCATCTGCTTCTTGACCAAGGTGGGGAAGAGAGGAGTTGGTGAGGCCCAGCATCAATGGCATTCTCCATATGCAGGTGCAGCAGGGGTTTGGAGGAGTCTCCTTTCACACTGCAGGCACACAGCAGGAGGGAGGCAGGGAGCTAGAAAGAAAGAGGGAGGCAGGGATGGCTCTTGGGGAGAATCCCAGGCAGAGTTCCCACGGTGGCACCTGCTCTGGAGGTTGCGGCCCCTCCAAAGTGGCGAAATAGCCCAGCCTTTTCAAGTTATTCCTCCTATGTCGTCTGGAAACTGTGTCCCTGATAAGAGGTCTGTCATCAGTTGAATTGTCACACTTGTTTTTCAATAATTTGGGATATTTACAACAGTTTCTTTCTAATGTTGCCTTTTTATTGTCCCTACAATTCTCTTTTTCTGGAATTCCTGTTGGAAGCTGTCAGAACCTCTCCATCTATCTGTACATCTCTTATCTGCTCTTCTTTTTTTAAGGACGAGGTCTCACTATGTTGCCCAGGCTGGTCTCTAACTCCTTGGCTCAAGGAATCCTCCCGCCTCAGCCTCCCAAAGTGCTGGGATTACAGAGGTGAGCCACCATGCCTGGCCATCAGCTCTTCTCTTTCTCGGTGTTCCTTGATCTCTCTGTTCTGTATTCTGGGAGCCCTATGTTTAATAATTTAATAATGTTAAATTATTAATTAATTATTGATTATTAATTAATTATTATTAATTGTTAATTATTAATTAATTATTAATTGTTAATTATTAATTATTATTAATTAATTAATGTTATAATTTAATAATGTTAATAATGTCCTATGTTAATCAGCCAAATGTTTAATGCAGTCTTTGAACAATCCCATCAATAGTTTTTTCTCATATTGCATTTTTGTTTCAAAAAGAATATATTTTATTTCCAACATGTTACACTGCTTTTTTAAAGGCTAACTATTCTTGTTTAATTTCTACTTATTTTCTTCTAATAATTTCTTGTTCTATTTTGGCTTTATTGAAAGGAAGGTACTATGGCTTCTGTCCTTTTTCTAAATTGTGGTAAAATAAACATGCAACTGACCATCTTAACCATTTTAAGTTACGCTTCAGCATTGTTAAGTATATTCACACTGTTGGGTTCCCTCGTCTTTTTAAATCTTTTTTTTAAATAAATACATGTTAAAGACTTTATTTTACTCATTAATGAGGGAATCAGGCAGGCACTACAACCCGAAGGACAGATGTATTTATAGATCACAAATCTTGAAATGAATGTATAAATGGAGAGAAACTGAGGTTTCCATAGGGGGCGGGAAATCAACTGGATCTCTCTCAACAGGACAGAATCTGCACATCTATTGTCTATGGGAATATTTTGCATTGCTATCGATTACTGAAAACATAAATGGTTGTAAAAGACAATGAAAGATTAGAATCTGATGCACTGGAGGGCTATCCTTTAGACAATGCCGAGTTTTCCATTGAAGTACGATTCCTTTTTCTTTTTTTTTAACAACCCTTAAAGTATCTCTTTGACAGCCAGGCAAGAGGGCCTGGGCCCTATTCATAAATGAATAACCTTGATGCCAGGACTCCTGGGATTACTATTAAACATTCTTTTTTAGTTTAAATTTTTTATAGATTTAGAGGGTACAAATGCAGTTTTGTTACATGGGTATATTACATGGAGGAGTCTGGGCTTTTCATGTTGCTGTCACCCAAATAAAGTACATTGTACTCATAAGGTAATTTCCTTTTTTTCTTACCCATCCACCACCCAATCATCCATCCATCATCCACCAACCACCTACCACCCATCCACCCACCACCCATCCACCCACCCATCCATCTACCCACCCATCCCTCCACCCAACCATCCATCCATCCATCCATCCATCCATCCATCCACCCACCCACCCATTTATCCATCCACCACCCATCATCCCTCCCACCCAGCCATCCATTCACCTATTCGGTAAATGTATACCCACCACCTACTCTGTGCCAGGCATTGTTCTAGGATATGGAGACACAGCAGTGACCAAGACATACCTGGTCAACCCCTTGTGGCTTCTGAACCAGTGAGGACACTCTCCATCCCCATTATGTAATTTTTTATCCCTCAGCCCCCTTCCTCCCTCTCTCCTTTCCAAGTCTACAGTGTCTGTTATTCCATTCTGTATGTCCATATCTACACTATCTTTTAAAAAATATCTTTAATATACTTTTTCAAGTATTTTCCTCTGGTTCTAGAGTGAGCTTGTGTTCTCATTGTTTAATTCTTTGTTGCTTATCTCAGCATTAGACTTTTGTGCTTTAGAATATTGTTTGGCACACTTATTTTCAGTAGGAATTTTAGTTTTTCCATTTTCTTTTTTTTTTTCTTAAGAGTCTCACTCTGTCGCCCAGGCTGGAGTGCAGTGGCGTGATCTCCGCTCACTGCAACCTCCGCCTCCCGGGTTCAAGCAATTCTCCTGCCTAAGCCTCCCAAGTAGCTGGGACTATAGGTGTACGTTACGACACCCAGGTAATTTTTGTGTTTTTAGTAGAGACGGGGTTTCACCATGTTGGCCAGGCTGGCCTCAAACTCCTGACCTCAAGTGATCTGCCCATCTTGGCCTCCCAAAGTGCTGGGATTATAGGTGTGAGCCACCGCATCCAGCCTAGTTTTTCCATTTTCTTTTTCTCTTTACTCTTCTTTTTCCCTCCCCTGCCTGCCCGCATTTATTTTCAGGCTCATACCTCTTGTCTGTCAGATAATTGGTCATCTCTACCCAGCCGTCTAGGTTGGCAATCCAGGATCAGCATGTATGATGGATGTTAGAAATTAATTCTCTGAGGCTGGGTGCAATGGCTAACGCCTGTAATGCGAGCACTTTGGGAGGCTAAGGTGACCAAATCACTTGAGGCCAGGAGTTCGAGACCAGTCTGGCCAACAAGGTGAAACCCTGTCTCTACTAAAAATACAAAAATTAGCTGGGCATGGTGGCACATGCCTGTAGTCCCAGCTACCCAGGAGGCTGAGGCAGGAGAAACACTTGAACTCACGAGGTGGAGGCTGCGGTGAGCCAAGATTGTGCCACTGTATTCCAGCCTGGGCGACAGAGTGAGACTCTGTCTCAAAAAAAAAAAAAGAAAAGAAATAAAAATTATTTGAAGTAATACTGGACATCGGGGACATCCAATCATAGCATTGTGAAAGGAAAATAAATCTCAGGACCCCAAAATCACTAAGCCGAAGGGAAAGTCAAGCTGGGAACTGCGTCAAGCAAACCTGCTTTCCATTTTCTTCCTAAATAAGGTAACTACAAAGATAAGAAACTGCATACCTCCCTCACAATTTGCCCACTAGGAAATTTTTTGCAGGCCCCGGATCTTTACCCCTAAAACAGTTCTGTTGAATTTCACCCTGACGATGTAAATTGATAGCTTACCTTCACAGGTACGGGACAAAGGACAGAACTCAAAGTTATCCCTCTGTTCAGCTGAGACAAATGTGCATCTGATTGCTTCCTCTGACCTATGTTTATTTTATCTTACGTAAAAACACAGATTCACGAAGCTAGCTCAATGCATGACTATTCCTTTACCCCCCTCACGTGTGAACAGCTGATCAAAGGCTCAGATGAACGCAACTGCTTGCCTCTTACCTACCCACACCTTTTAAAAATTTCTTCTTCTTTGTCCAATATCTGCCCTTTTCCTGTAAATATTGAAGCCCTCAAAATCATCTTTGGAGAATGGCACAGACCTGCCTCCCAGGCATGTGTCCTTAACCTTGGCAAAATAAAATTCTAAATTGATTGAGACATGTCTCAGACACTTTTTCATTTACAGTATTTAGAGACATTTTCCCTTCAGAAACTAATCTTATAATGACCAGTCCATACATGGGCAAAACAAGTGCAGGACAAAATCAGATATGGTCTCACTCACTGTTTTTGTTTCTCTTCCGTTTCTGTTCCAGATATATTTACTTTATACTAAAGTTGTGTCTCTATATCTTTTATTTATACATTGTTGCTATGTGTTTGGAAGAGAAAAGATTTCCAAAGCATTATTCCACTTGTTATTTTGATCTAGAACTGGGCATATTATAAATAAATACGGCAGAGGAGAATCTAGCCCCATCTCACTGATAAAATTCCCAATATACTTCCCTCAAACTTCCTATCATCTAAGTTCTTAATTCAACTCAACACTATCCCACCGTCACCCTAATGAATTCTGCTGAGTATCACTTGCATTTCAGCACGAATTGATCCTATCACTAATGTCAATGGGATGGTCACGTCATGGTTATCTGAACGTGTCAAAGGAGAAGAGCATCTGAAGCTGTTTCACATCCTACAGCATGAGGTTCTTGAGAAGGAGCTATCTGTGGTAAGAAGAAAATGAGGCAACGAGAAAAGGCTGTTGGCCAAAAAGCTGAGAGTGACCCAGTTACTGGCTTCGCTGGACTCCAGCCCAATCTAGATTGATGCTTCCACTTTTTGAAATGTGCTCGAACATCTCAGTCTCTCCTCTCCTGCTCATCATGCACTTGTCAGAAAGCTAAACTTCTTACTTTCTCCTGACAGAAAGGGTCTGACAGTAAACCATGATATGTTTAGATTACCATTACTTTCATCACTTAAGTGCAGAATCACGTCAGTCCCTGTCTACCCCTGAATGGAGGCAGATAAACCAGTTCATCTGAGCTCCATGTGATCACCTGCCGGACCTCCTGAAGAAGCAGTCAGAATATGCCAGCAGGAGAGTCTGGCTTCCCACCCCAACTCCTCCAAAACCATTGTTCTTAAGAGATATGACTGGTGCTGGGCACGGTGGCTCACGCCTGTAATACCAGCACTGTGGGAGGCTGACACAGGAAGATCGCTGGAGCCTAGAAGTTTGGGACCAGCCTGAGCAACATAGCAAGACCTGGTCTCTACAAGTTTTTTTTAAAAAATTAGCCAGGCACGGTGGTATGCACCTGTGGTCCCAGCTACTCAGGAAGCTGAAGTGGGAGAATCATTGGAGCCCCAGAGGTTTAGGCTGCAGTGAGCCGAGACTGTGCCACTGCACTCCAGCCTGGGTGACAGAGAAGGACACTGTCTAAAAAAAGAAAATGAGAGAGAGAGAGAGAGAGAGAGATGACTGGGATCTTTCTCATTGCCCCAAATTTTGTGAAGGAGAAACAAAGTATATCCTTTTTATGAAAATGGTAGGCCGGGTGCAGTGGCTCATGCCTGTAATCTCAGCACTTAAGGAGGCCAAGGTGGGTGGATCACCTGAGGTCAGGAGTTTGAGACTAGCCTGGCTAACATAGTGAAACCCCATCTCTACTAAAAATACAAAAATTAGCCAGTCTTGGTGGCACATGCCTGTAATCCCAGCTATTCAGGAAGCTGAGGCAGGAGAATCGTTTGAACCCGGGAGGTGGAGGTTGCAGTGAGCTGAGATCGCACCACCTGCACTCTAGCCTGGGTGACAGAGCAAGACTCCATCTCAAAAAAAAAAAAAAAAGAAAAAGAAAAAAATGATAGAGGCTTCCTTATACAAATATGGATACATGAATATGCTATTTGCAATGAGGCGTAAATTGATAGCTTGAAAAAAGAGCAAGAGTAAAATGAAATGCCCCAGAGACCCCAGGAGGTGGAAAGTACAACAGGACAAGGTGTGTGTGCTGTTATGACATAGAGATGCATGTACTGGCTTTCATCCATGGTTGCTGGTTGGTAACTCCCACATTCCTTGTTGCTGGCCATTTTTTCTTTTTCCTTTTTTTCAGCTGAGGGAATTTAGCCAATCCAGAGGCCTTGTTCCCCATAATTTGGAACTTTTCTCTGGATTTGATCAAGTCGGGTAGAGTTGGTCAAACCTAATGGGAAAGAGACCAAAACAACAAAAACAGAAACTAACAAATTTTTAAAAAGCAGTTAATCAAAACAAACAAATGATCACACAATTTATATTATTACTGAGCACTCTAATGGTAAGGAGGAATTAAGACCAACTGGTTGTTCATCTTAACTTTAGTGATTAAGGAGAATTTCCAAGACAAAACCCCCATTCAGCTACTTACCTAGGAATGAGACCTGGCTAAAGACTGTGCTCTACTGAGGGAGAAGACCACCCCTCATATTGTCTCATGCCCAATTTCTGCCTCCAAAGAAAGAAGAAGTAAAAATGAAAAGGCAGAAATGAAATCCACAAGCAGACAGCCCGGCGCCACACCCCGGGCCTGGTAGTTAAAGATCGAGCCCCGGCCTACTCGATTATGTTATCTGTAGATTCCAGACATTGTATGGAAAAGCACTGTGAAAACCCTTGTCCTGTTCTGTTCCAATCTGATTACCGGTGCATGCAGCCCCCAGTCGTGTACCCGCTGGTTGCACAATCGATCACGACCCTCTCACGTGGACCCCCTTAGAGTTGTGAGCCCTTAAAAGGGACAAGAATTGCTCACTAGGGGAGCTCAGCTCTTCAGACAGGAGTCTTGCCAATGCTCCTGGCTGAATAAACCCCTTCCTTCTTTAACTCGGTGTCTGAGGAGTTTTGTCTGCGGCTGGTCCTGCTACACTACTATCCTAGAAGTAGGAAAAAACTCAAACTTGCTTTCCCTGTTGGAAGTGGGCTGAAATTCCACAAAGGAGTTGCCTGCACCCCATTATCATGGAAGCAGGAAAACTCTCCCTCCTTGTTGAAAGTGAATAAAACTCCAGAAAAAGAGTTTCACAGCAGAATAATCCTTAAACCTCAACCAGATTTTGGAAGATCAGGGATTCTCTGGAGACAGGAGCTCCCAGGGCTCAGCAAATTGTCCAACTGATTTGAGCAATAAAGGTAGCTCAAGCTGGCACCAAGTACCCGTAGGAGATTTGCCAAAGGTCAGGGGTAGCTCCACTCAGAATCCCTTCATGGTTACCATGTAAACCAAACAGTATCTGAGACAGAGCTCAGTCAATTTAGAAGTTTATTTTGCCAATGTTAAGGACATGCACCCAGGACCCAAGTCTGTGCCTTTCTCCAAAGATGATTTTGAGGGCTTCAATATTTAAAGGAAAAAGGGCAGGTATTGCAGAAAGAGGAAGACATTTTTAAAAGGTGTGGGTAGATAAAAGGCAAGTGGTTGCCTTCTTTTGAGCCTTTGATCAGCCGTCCACATGTAAGGGAGGCAAAGGAATAGTCAGCTAGCTGGGGTGAATCTGCACTTTCACATAAGATAAAGTAGGGCAGAGGAAGCAATCACATATGCATTTGTCTCAGGTGAGCAAAGAAATGGCTGAGTTCTTTCCTTTGTCCCATCACTGCGAAGATAGACTATCAATTTACATTGTCAGGGTGGAATTCAACAGAACACTTTTAGGGTAAAGATCTTGCCCACAAGGGCAAATTGTGAGGGAGGCATGTAGCTTTTTTATTTGTGAATGGAAGGCAGGTTTGTGTGACACAGTTCCCAGCTTGATCTGTCCCTTCGGCTTAGTGATTTTGAGGTCCCAAGTTGTATTTTCTCTTCACAATATGTGTACGTATATTGGTTTATGTATTGGTTTTCAACCCAGGGTTCCTGGCTCATAATTCCCACAGCCCTTGTTACAGTCTTTTGTTACAGTGTTGGGTGAGTCAGGCCTCAGGGGCAGGACTCTGACCTTCCACTGCCCTGAGGCAGGACTCAAGGCCCTCCCATGAGAGGGTCCCATCCTATACCCTGGGGGAAGGAATGCTAAAGTCATGAAGCTTCCATAAAAAACCAAGGGGACTGGGCCGAACACGTGGAGGCCGACAGGAGGGTGAAGAACTCGTCCACATGCCGGGAGGGTGGGGCACCCCAGCTCCACGGCAACAGAAGCTCCTGTGCTTCCAGGCCTCACCCTATGTACCTCTTCGTCTGGCTAATTATCCATATCCTTTAAAATATCCTTCTTAGTAAACTGATTCTCTGTGAGCAACTCCCCCAGATTAATCAAACTCAAAGAGGGGGTTGTGGGAACCCCAACTTGAACCCAGTTGGTCAGAAGTTCTGGAGGCCCCAACATTCGATTGGTGGGGTGGGGCAAGGATGAGTCTTGGGGATGGAGCCCTCAACCTGTGGGATCTGGCACTATCTCCAGGTAGACAGGGTTGGAACTGATTGGAGGACACCTGGCTGACGTCCACCGCTTGGGAGTGGGGAGAGGTCCCCACACGTTTGGTCACAGAAGTCTTCTTCTGTGTAGATGATTGTTGCAGTGTGAGAGCGGAGGGAAAACATGGTTTCAGGAGAGTCTTCCCTCACACTATGTGATTGGAGCAAAAGGACAAGAAAGATGAACTGAAGGACAAAGGAGAATTTAGGGAGAATCAGGGGCATCGGTTCAGCTGAGGGAGGGGCGTTGGAACCACAGCTGCATGCTGTCTAACTGGGGTGGAGAACTGCTAGGGCTTGGCCTGGAGCCAGGCGGGCATCAGGGCAGGCTCCAATTCAAGGGAGCAATATGACAAGGACAGGGAAGTCACACTTGATATTTCAGGTGAGGCCTCACCCAAGATTTTGATTTTTTTTTTTTGAGAGGAGTCTCGCACTGTCTCCCAGGCTGGAGTGCAGCGGTGTGATCTCGGCTCACTGCAAGCTCCGCCTCCCGGGTTCACCCATTCTCCTGCCTCAGCCCCCCGAGTAGCTGGGACTACAGGCGCCCTTCACCACGACCAGCTAATTTTTTGTATTTTTAGTAGAGACGGGGTTTCACCGTGTTAGCCAGGATGGTCTCGATCTCCTGACCTCGTGATCCACCCACCTCAGCCTCCCAAAGTGCTGGGATTACAGGCGAGAGCCACCGCACCCGGCCAGATTTTGATTTTTAAAAACCCAGGTATGAGGCCATCAGGCTCTGTTCTGCAGTTTCAGAACCAACTGGCTTGATTCATTCATAAGGAGGCCGAGGACTCCCAGCTGTCAGTAGAGGGCAGCCGTGCCCAATGAAGACCAAGTTCAGGTCAGAAGCTTGCTCAGCAAGCCAAGAACCAAAGATAGTTAATCTGGGCAGGGCGGTTATGTATGAATTTTATTTTCCTTTTATTTTTCAATGTTTTTAGGTAGTTACACGATAAGCACATATTACTTATATACGAAAAAAGTTATTTAAAAAACAATATTCATTCTTTACCTTTCTATCAAGTGGTACAGAAAATTATACGGTATATATTTGCCGTGTGGCAAAATATTCCTCGTTGGATCATGTCAGTGGAAAGAGTATGGTTCTTCTTTGTATTAGTCTTTCAACTTCCCTGTGAGTTTGAATATTTTCATAATAAAAACTTGAAAAACAGAATATAAAATTGAAAAAAAGTTTTGGAAGGAAAAAATATTCCCATCCTTTAATTCAAGAACATCTACGTAAATAATAGAACCAGTCTCCTAGATGACACTGCTCCCCACCCTTGGATGCTGATGAGTAAATGTTTTAAAATTCTATTCTCAAAATATTTGTTCAAACATTCCATTCTGGTCACATAAAATCTTCCACCGTTTCAAGGACAGAACACAGTATCCGAGAGTTCTGGTTTCTACTGTTGCTCAGCAAACTCCCGCAGAACTCAGCAGCTTAAAATACCCGTTTCACATTGCCCACCATTTGTGAGTCAGAAATTCAGGCAGCCCTCGGCTGGGCAGTAGTTGCTTAGGGCATCCCATGTGGTTGTGTTAGATGCTGGCCAGGGATGTCCTCACGGCCCCTGTGGGTGACGGTGGCCATGGGTGACGGTGGCCGTGGGCCACTCCCCAGAACCCTCCAGCAAGGGGCTCAGGGTAGTCAGATGTCTTCCATGAACTCCCTGGAGCTCAAGGCCCCAAGTGTGCCTGTTCTAGCAAGAACCAGGAAGAGGCTGTCTCCCTGCCATGACCTAATCTAGCAGCCACACAGCCCCATTCCGCTGCCAGCGTCCTGCAGGCCCCTCCTCAGGGAAGGCCCTCGGTGAAGAGTGAGGCCTGATCGCCGCTCACCTACTCCTGATCCTGAAAGGTTTTGCCCTTTTCCTAAATAGAAACTCTGAAAAGTAATCAAACAGTATTTCCAAAGGAGGCTTTTGGCAGGCTTGCCTCATTGCCCTTGCAGGGAAGGCTGCCTGTCTCTAGCCATCTTCCTCTTCTTACAGCTGTGCTGAGACGTTTTTGGCTGGGGCAGGGCTGCTGCACTGAGGGTGCATCCCACCTCCTGCAGGGAAGGCAGCCAGACCACATTCCAGTGAGTGGAACGTGAGGGAAGGCTGTCTGCCCACTGCTTTTGTTCCATAAAGAATGAGGCTTGCCCTCCCTTCCCCTCTCCTGCTTCCTGGTAGCTGAACCAGGGCAGCATTTGCTGTGAGCTGGGAGCCATGTGTTGAAGACGGCGGAACAACAAAAGTGAAGACAAAAAAGAAAACTGCATCACTGGCATGTGCCCTTGTCAGTCAGCACTTCCGGGGCTGTGTGTGGCCTTCAGGAATTTCAGTTTTCATGCATGACCCTGAGAAGACTCAGCCCCCTGCCACAGTAGGACAGGTTTCTCAAACAACCCACTAGGGTTAGGGGCCCGCAGGTTTCATTCTGCCCCTCTCCAGGTCAGGGTTCCTAATGCACTCCCCCCAAAGCTCCCCATCACCCTGCCCTCTCCAAATCCTCGTCACTGTCACAAGCTTGGTCTTCCAGGCACCGTGTATGGCCGTGGTCCCTGTAGTCGCCCATACAATCACTCCCTTCTTAGTAACAGGAATCTTAATTTGATTCAGCTTCAGAAATACTTTTTCCAGCCTCTTTTGCTGACAGGGGTGCCTGTGTGATCCAGTTCTACCCAGGGAATTGTGACCCAGCGCTCTGTGAGCTTCCAAGAGAGGAGGAGGCAGCTGCCATCCACCCTTTACCTTCTTCCTTCCTCCTTCTTCCTAAAACGTGTGCTGGCTGGAGCTCCCGCAGCCAAGGAATGAGACCTGACCTCGTGCTAAGAAGAGTGAGACTGAGACCTGAGAAGGAGCCTGGGCCCTGACGGTGGAGGAACCCCCACACCAGCCTGCACCATCGACCTCTCATTTCCGTCCGGCGCTGGGATCCAGGCTTCCTGCTCTGCAACTGAATCCATTCTGACACACTGTCTTACAGTTCTGGTATAAAGGGTCAGACTTCAAGTTAGCCAAGGGAGGCAGTGGGGGAAAGTAACAGCCTTGGCACTACCCGGCCCCCTTTCTATCAACTGCCCCCGCTCTGCCCGCTCCAGACACATGTGGAGGGGGATTAAGTGTCGAGGGAGCCAAGGTGAACAGCAGGAAAAGGAAAGCAGTGGAGACAGAGATTTCCACCAGGCTTTACTCACAATGCAGCCATACGGATTAATCCCACAGCCACCACAGAAGGTTGTGTTACCCCCGCCTCACAGGAAGAGGCTCTGGCAGGAAGAACAGCTGGACCCGAGTCAGACACGCAGGTCACGGGCCCAGAGCAGGGCCGGCCCAGGCCCACCGCACTCTATGACATCGGCCACCAGGCTGGTCTCCAGGAAATAGGGCCCTGGTGTCTACTTCCTAAACTCCCTGTGAATTGCCAGGGGCCAGAATGTGGGTAGGTGGGAGAACAGATGGAGGCTGAAGGACCTCTGGTGGCAAAACACTGACCTCTACAGAGGTCTCATCAGAAAGCCTGAAATCCCACGTTAGATATTTCAGAAAGAGGGCAAGCTTCTGTTCTATACATTTGTATGTTATTTAAAGTTACACAGCCAGACAAATATGTACATAACACTATGGGTTTTGGTGGTAAATGTTTTATCTATGCATATTATGTATAGATGTGAGGAAGACGTCTGGAAGGATACACCACCCACGCGTAAACACACGTTAAGGGAGCGTGTGCAGTATGTTGTATCTAAAATGAACATGTAATACGAAAAGCCAGTAGCTGGTATTTGTAAAGGGGTGCTCTGTATCTAACCCTCTAAATGCCCCCCACCTCCCACCCTCTTGGCCTGCTCTGAGGGCTTCGTCTCCGTTTCCCTGGCCCCTCAGCCTTGGCAGGCTTCTCATGCAGGGCCCAGTGAAGGCTCAGGAGGGCCTTGGCCAGACTCCATCAGACATTTGTCTCCACTGGGGGCGACTTGATCCACAAATGAGATCCCACCAGTGACCCAGGTAAGAGGATTGCAAAGGCCAAGAGGCTTGAGGAGGGAAGGCTGCCCGGAAGGCAGTCTGTCCTGGAGACAGAGTGAGCAGGAACCCACAGTGAGAGCAGGAGTGGCAGGAGGTGGTCACAGCTGGAGGCAGAAGCAGGAATGCAGCAGCAGCAGCAGCCAGGCGCAAGGCAGCTCTGTAAACCTGCAAACTCGAGGCTGGCTGAACTCTACAGCATTGACTAACACGGGGCTTTTCCATCTGGCATTTCCACTTGCTTTGGTATCCACAGGCGCTTCCGGGCCCGGGGGCAGCCGCCACGCACACACGCATGCCACCTGAGCAAGCCTTGATGGGTGAATACCAGGAGACCCCTGAAGGTGCTCCTTGCTTCAGGAGCCTGAGAACCCAGTCTTTCGTCTTGTAAGGGGGTCCTCTGGCACCGCAGGCCCCAAACTCTACTCCTCCCGCCATCTCTCCTGGACCTCCCCGAGCCACGCAGCCCCCTCTTCCTCTCCACCCTCACAGGAGACCGCCGGTGCCTGGCCTGAGAATCCAAGTGCAGCTGGGGAATGGCCTGGAAGAGGCCGTAAAGGCTGGAATGGAACAGTCCAGCCTCACACAGTGGCTAACAGCACAGAGTTCATTCCAATCCGGCTCTCCCTCAACCATCTGTGTGACCTTGGGCAACTTCACCTCTGTGTGCCTGCTTCCTCACTGGTAAAACAGGAGCAAAACAGTACCCACCGCCTAGGCTTGCTCTGAGGATCAAGTAAGTTGGTACTTATCCTGGAGCACTAAGTAAGTTGGTACTTATCCTGGAGCACTAAGTAAGTTGGTACTTATCCTGGAGCACTAAGTAAGTTGGTACTTATCCTGGAGCACTAAGTAAGTTGGTACTTATCCTGGAGCACTAAGTAAGTTGGTACTTATCCTGGAGCACTAAGTAAGTTGGTACTTATCCTGGAGCACTAAGTTGGTACTTATCCTGGAGCACTAAGTAAGTTGGTACTTATCCTGGAGCACTCAGAACAATGCACTTGGCTAGCTGCATGACATGCTATGCGCATGGAGCGTGGCGGCCAAACTCCTCCTGGCTCCACCGGAAAGGGCACAATGCAGCTATCGCCGGGCCGATTCCACGTCTGAAATCACGGATAATGACCACCTCCCCTTATTTAACAAAAAATATGGCTAAATAATCCATCTAAGCAACAGGGGAAGGCAAAACCCGCTCCACACAAATCTCAAAGGTTAAAATAAAACCAATGTCTGACACTGGTTTCTGAGCCCAGATGGGAGGTTGGAGCTGCTCCCAAGGCCACGGCCCTCGACACAGCTCCCCAGACAACTCTGCCACCATCTGGTGTCGAGCTCCAAAGTAGTTTCTGCCAAGAAAGTTGCCTAGCCCAGGGTTTTTGGTTTGTTTTGTTTTGAGACGCAGTTTCGCTCTTACCGCCCAGGCTGGAGTGCAGTGGTGCGATCTCAGGTCACTGCAACCACCCCGTCCCGGGTTCAAGCAATTCTCCTGCCTCAGCCTCCCAAGTAGCTGGAATTACAGGCATGTGCCACCACACCCAGCTAATTTTTGTATTTTTAGTAGAGATGGGGTTTCACCATGTTAGCCAGGCTGGTCTCAAACTCCTGAAGTGATCCACCCGCCTCAGCCTCCCAAAGTACTGGGATTACAGGCGTGAGCCACCGCGCCTGGACTAGCCCAGGGTTTTCAAACCCACTCATGAAATCAAGTTCGTGAGTCACAAAAAGCGTTTTGTTTTTCCGAGACAGAGTCTTGCTCTGTCGCCCAGGCTGGAGTGCAGTGGTATGATCTTGGATTACTGCAACCTCTGCCTCCCGGGTTCAAGTGATTCTCCAGCCTCAGCTTCCTGAGTAGCTGGGATTACAGGTGTGTGCCACCATGCCCAGCAAGTTTTTGTATTTTTAGTAGAGTATTTTTAGGTTTCACCATGTTGGCCAGGATGGTCCCGAACTCCTGACTTCGTGATCCGTCCGCCTCAGCCTCCCAAAGTGCTGGGATTACATGTGTAAGCCACTGCGCCCGGCCGCGTTTTGTTCTTTTAAATGAATTAGTGGAGAACAGAAACTCTCAGAATGTTGCACGTGATATGCAGAGGTAACAGTCTGTCTGTGTTCTGGGTATTAGCAAAACAGGCACTCTCACTGGGGTTGCGTTTGGGAGTCCAAGCGCCACTGTGAGGCCAACCCTGGTATCAGCTGTGTACCCTGAGGCTCCCCGGCACGTCATAAAGGGCACTCAATAAGCACTGCCTGGGCCAGCAGAGGGCACCGGGCACAAAGCACCACTCAGGGACCACCCTGATCAGAGGACCTGGTTCTTCCCCAGACCAGGCCTGCCCAGCCAGCAGGAGGCAGAAGCAGGAGACACTCACCAGCTTTCCTGCTGCGGCCTCCTGGCTCTACAGGACGATCAGCAGGAGCACAGTCCGGGGCTCCTCTCCACCTTGTGGCCTGGACTTCCTTTCCCACCTGGCCCCCATCCCCTGGGCTGTCCCTGGCTCTTCCCTCCCACTCATCTGCTTTCTTTCCTCAACTTTGCTTCCTCCCACCCGTCTAGCCCTCTCCTTAACTCTTCATTCTCCCTTTTCCTTTCTTTCCCTGCCTGCCACCTCCTTTTCCAGGACACACACACATAAATATTTTTCAGACAATTCAGCCTTTATTTTAGAAAATAATTCTGTAGCTTCCACTTTCTTTCATGAAACTGAGGTCAGGCAAGAAACAAAAATCCACCAAGTCCTCTCCATCCTGCCATGGCGTCCTGGCCTGTGAGGACATGGGGCGCCTGGGAGCGGGCGGGGAGGCTGGGCAGCACTGGGCCAGAGGCGTCCTGGTCACTGCTCCACCTGGTCACTGCTCCACCTCATGCTGAGAGGAGCCTGTGTGTCAAACCCCAGGGGAAAAAGGGACAGGCAGATCGAATTCTGTCTTCTACCAAGCCAGCAGGAGCCTCCTAGAGCAACAGGGAGGGCACTGATTTTCAGAAAGGAGGGGTCAGGGCATAGTCCCTCTCTGAGGTAAGGCAAGAGAGAGGTTGTCCCAGCACAAGGCCTTCCTCCCTGCACCTCTCTCCTGACAGCTGGGCATGGGCTGAGGAGAGGTCTTGCTTGCCCCCTTCAACTTTCCATCTCAGAACTATAAACTGCTAGGCTGCAAGGAGAGAAGGGCTAAGTGGGGGTCAGACAGGAGAGAAGGGCAGGAGGCAGTGAGCCCCGATGACCCACCAACTCCACCAGGCCCTGACAAGGAAGCCCCTTTGGTTAGTATCATTTTGGCCACAAATATGTCCCCTTCTCCCATAACTCAGTCCCCACTGGGGGAAGGGGAGCAGGTATAGAAGGAGGGCTCGTGCCCTGGCTGGAAGAGCCAGGTCAGGGAGAAGGGGTCTGGTCAAGAGAGCGAACGTTGCCAAACTCTCTGCACATGCTCCAGGAGAAAGCTCAGGACGTGGACATTTCTGGCCCCAACAAGCCCAGTGCCCCCCACCACACAGTGGTTTCCTGCTTAATACCCCGCAACATACCCTAGAATAGTTCCCCTGATCTGACTCCCTTGAGAACGGGAGAATAATCCTCTTGTTATCATTTGTGCACTTAAATGCCACTCGGAAAAATCAAAAAGATAAATGCACCTAAGAGGGAAACACAGGCAGGCCGATGCAGCCTGGGGACTGTGGTCCCACCTCAGCTCATGATGTGGCAAGGAGGGGCCCAGGAAGGACAGGCAGGTGCTAATTCCAGCTAGGATCATAGCCCTCCCACGTCAGTGGGGGCGCCAGGTGGACACGGCGGCCCCGGAACTGGAAGGTGACAATACCCCGGTAGCCAGCTCTCGGAACCCCCGACTTAAGGTCATCCATGACACCCAGAGCCTTGGCGAAAGCCTTGAAGCTGTCCCTGCCCGTATACTGCACCCGCACCTCCCCCAGCTCCTTCCGGTCATTGGTCCTCACTTTCTCCACCTGCAGCTGGGGAGCACCGTAGACGCGGGCGAGGAAATCTCGGTCATAGGCCTCCCGCTGCAGGTAAGACAGGTCCAGCTGGGTGAAGTGCACAAACTGCTGGTTCAGCTTGATAAACTTGAGGTGCTGGTCAAAGAACTGCCCGTGGCTCACACCCTTGCGGCCAAAGGTCATCGTTCTTGAGATCTCAGGGCGTATGCAGGCCCGCCCCTGCCGCTGCTCCGGCCGCCGCATCCAGTCGTCCCAGAAGGCCTTTGGCCACTTGGGCTCCAGCTCAGCCCAGAGCTCGGCCAACAGCAGCCAGCCCAGGCCAGGGAAAAAGTCGGTGCGGTAGAGCAGCTCAGGCCTGCTGGCGTCCACCATCTGCTCCTTGCCGTTGTCATTCCAGGCCGAGACGCACCACAGGGAGGGGTCGGCCTTCAGCAGCGGATAGGTGGCCCGAAAGTACTCGAAGAAGTCCGGGGCCACCTCCAGGTCATCCTCCACCACCACGGCCGCGGGGAAGCGAAACTGCCGGAAGACCTGGCCCAGCGCCCAGCGGTAGTGGCGCGCGATCTTGTAGTAGCCCTGGAACTTGCGGTGGTCCGGCGGCACCGCAATGCTGCTCAGGTCGGGCTGCCGGATGTGCGTGACCGCGCTGCCGTAGGAGGCGATGGCCTGGGCCGTCTCCTCGTGCCCGCAGTCCTGGCTAACGATGATGGGGAAGAGCTCAGCCGAGGGCCGATAATGCAGCAGCTTGTCCAGGCAGCGCCGAACAGTGCTGCGGTCACAGGCGATGACCAGGATGGGAATCACCGCCGGCGCGGGGGTCACAGGCACACGCGGCTGGGCGGGAGGGGCCGCGGTGGGCACCCTCCCCCGCTGGCTCGACAGGGCATCCCCGATCTGCTGCAGCAGCCCACGCTGCCGCTCCAGCTCCACCTCGGCGTCTTGGGCCAGGCGAATCACTTCCCGGGTGAGGCTGGCGGGGTCGCCATCGAGAGCGCTGACTGAGGGTGGCCTGCCAGGTGCTGGGCGCGTCCAGAAGAAGAGGAGCAGCAGGGCATTCCAGGCCACAAAGAGGATAGCGCCCCACAGCACAAGCCCTGCAGACTGCTTCTTCAGCATCCTGGCCCCCACCGGGGAGGGCAGGCCAGGGGACGGTTCAAGGCTGCCCTGGGCTTGCCCGGCTCCCTTGCCCGCAGTCCTAGGGATGCCTCCTCTGGACTATGGGATTAGGAGGCAGCCATGCACCTAAAGACAGGAGAGAGAAAGCAAACCGTCACACAAAGGCTCGTGGCTCCATGCCCCACAGGTAGAGGAAATGGGGGCAGGAAAAGGCCAAGAGTGAGGGTGGAGGAAGGCCAGGAGGTTGACTCCAGAGCTCTCTAGGGAGTCAACATATATCCTGACCCAGGAACGTATTTTTGAGGGAGAGGCAGAGAGTGATGCTGGTGGAGGGAGAGAGAAAAAGAACCCCAACTCCCCTCTTTCTACCTGTCAGATTTCATTTCCCCTCCAGGTGGGAAGGAGGAGGGGAGGGGCAAGGAGTGACAGCATCTGCCTACCATTCCTCTAACCTAAGCGCCCCAAGATGACTGATTTTTAAAATCAAATGTCCCACCTCAGGGCTACAGTTAACCCCTTACCAACAGGGAAGCACCAGAGGCACCCCACGAATGTCAGGAGCAAAACGAAGTTGCCCATCATCTCCAGGGTTATTTAACATTTTGCTGGAGGAAGCAGCCAATGCAAATGAACCAAGAAAAAAAAATTCAAAGCAGAAGTGGAAAGGAAGCAAACTATTTCTATTATCTTTACTTGTGAGAATATGCCTGGAAAACTCAAAAAGAATCAATAATGAACTGAGCAAGGAAGTGTAATATAAAAATCAACATATACTAATGGATAGCCTTCATATCCACAAATAACTCATGAGAAGAAAACATGGATGAGAAAACCCTACTTACAAAAGCCAGAGAAATGAGAAAATATTTAGAAATAAACTTAAATAAACTTAAACATTCAAAACTTATGTGAACAAAACTATCATTCCTGAAAGACACAAAAGAACATCTGAATATCCCTTGTTCTTGGTCAGGACATTTCAGCATCATCAAAAATCCCAATAAAAATACCTTTTTATGGAGCTAGACGAACTGACAGTAAAGTTCACATGAAAAACTAGGAAAACAATAAAAATAAGCTGTGAGGAGGGACTCAGCCCTACCAGATATGAAAATACTGCATACTGGCCAGATGCAGTAGCTCCTACCTGCAATCCCAGCACTTTGGGAGGCCAATACAGGAGGATCACTTGAGCCCAGGAGTTCAAGAATAGCCTGGGCAGCACACGGAGACCCTGTCTCTACAAGTAACAATTAAAAAAAAAAAAAAAAAAAGCTGGGCATGGTGGCACGCACCTGTGGTCCCAGCTACTCAGGAGGCTGAGATGGGATCACCTGAGTCTGGGAGGCTGAGGCTGTAGTGAGCTGTGATTGGATTGTGCCATTGCACTCCAGCCTGGGCAAGAGAGTGAGACTCTGTCTCAAAAAAATTTTTTTTTATTATATATATATATATATGGCATACTACAAAACCTCCATAATTACAACTGCGTGGTACTGGTACATAAATAAACAGACCATCCAGTGAAATAGAATTTAAGCTCCAGAAACAGACTCATTACACAAAAAAATCTAATATGTAATAAAGGTGCTACTTAAAATTCCCAAGGCAAAGATGGTCTTATTAATAGTGTTATAATAATTACGTAGCTATGCTATAGCTTGAATATGGTTTGTTCTCTGAAACACATGTTGGGATTTGATCCCCTGTGTGGTGGTGCTGCCGGAGGTGGGGTCTAGTGGTAGGTGTTTGGATCACAAGGGGGGCAGGGGCAGATCCTTCCTAACGTCCTCTGGTGAGTGAGCTAGTTCCCCAGGGATAACAGGCTGTTATAACCAAGCCCAGTCTCTCCTGCATGCCCCATTTCTTTCTACTTTCAGCCATGTCCCTACAAAAACCTACACAGGAGTGTTGATGGTAACTTTATTCATAATCACTCAAAACTGGAAATAACCCAAAGGCCCATCAACAGGGAAATACAGATAAACAAATTGTGGTTTACTCATAGAATGGAATAATATTCAGCAATAAAACTGAATAAACCACTGACATACACAACACAATCTCCAAATAATTACACAATATGGGTCTTTTTGGGAAAAACAAAAAAGAGCACATACACTGTGATTCCATTGACATAAAACTGCCGAAAATAGAAACTAATCTATATTACAGAAAGCAGATCAGTTGTTGCCTGGGGATGGAGGCAGAGAAGGGCAGTAGGGTAGTTACTACACAGGGGCATTAGGAAGCTTCTAGAAGGGTGGATATGTTTATTATCTTGATTGTGGTGATACTTTTACAGGTATATATATATATATATATATACACACACACACATATATGTCAAAACTTATCAAATTGTACACTTTATATGCAGTTCTTTGCACATATTGATATCAATTGTATGTCAATGAAACCTCAAAAAACTTTTTTTAAAAAGACGTTATTGGGTAAAATGACAAAGGTGGAATATGGACAGTAGGTTAAAGTATCAGTGATAACTGATTAATTCCAATTCTTAGGTAATACACACTGAAGTATTGAGAAGTAGAGGACCAGGATAGATGCAACTTCTCAAATGGTTCAGAACAAAAACATACTCTGCACACATAGAGAGCAAATGGAGCAAAATATTAACAGGTGAATCTGAGTAAAGAGAGTGTGTACGAATATCCTTATACTATTTTTTATTCTTGCAATTTGTGTAAGTTTGAAGCTATTTCCACACGAAGTTTCTTGACAATCAAATATGTAGATATTGCCCATAGCTCTGAAGAGCTTCATCCATCAGCGTAATCCCAGCTGGCACATCAGCAAGGCAAATTGAGATGATCTGTTTGCCCTGAATTCCTCGGTCAGTCACCTGACGACGTGTATCACACACCTGCTCTCTGCCAGGCTCTGGGAAGGAACCAGGACACAAACCAGTGAGAAAAAGGCATGGTCCCACCAATCCTCCAAGCTCTACCAGACCACATTACTTGAAAGGATCTGAAACACTCCCCAATTCCCAGCCAGCTGCCACTCCAGACCATAACTCCTTGACTGTCCTGCCTCTGGTCTACCCTTTACACCCCAAAGCTTCAGGCGTGCACCCTCTTACACCAACAGCTCTGCCAGTTGCCCTCTGCCTCACAGGCTACTCTCTAATCCTGGCCAAAACCTTGGGCCTCAGATCTAACCTCTGAGGCTCTGGGCTCTCAAACCAGCAGATCTGGTATAAAAGGGCTGATCCTGAAGGGCCTCTAAAGAGACATGGATTCTGTCTCCCTCCTGGGGAGACTTCACCAGCCCCTGCCAGCATTCACCACCAACCACTTGTCTTCTTCCTAGAAACCAACCACCCCCACCACGCCAGGACATCAGTCTTCTCAGAAACGTCAAGTCTGTTTCCATGTAACTGTGCAATTAAATTCTATTATATCAGGGCTCAAATATTATGTATCAATTAGATACATGTTGTCAAGTGACCGAGAAATTCAGGGCAAACGTCGTTTCAGTTGGCCTTACTGCTGTGCCCAGCTGGGGCCATACAGATGGATGAAGCTACTCAGAGCTGTGGGCCATATCCCCATATTTGATTTTTAAGAAAGTTTATGTGGAAGAAAAGAGTGATGCACAAAAGAGTTTCAGTTTTTTTTCTTTTTTTTTGAGACAGAGTCTCACTCTGTCTGTTGCCCAGGCTGGAGTACAGTGGCATGATCTCAGCTCACTGCAACCTCTGCCTCCCAGGCTCAAGCGACTCTCTTGCCTCAGCCTCCCGAGTATCTGGGATTACAGGTGCCTGCCACCACGCCCAGCTAATTTTTGTATTTTTAATAGAGACGGGCTTTCACCATGTTGGCCAGGCTGGTGTTGAACTCCTGACCTCAAGTGATCCACCCTCCTCAGCCTCCCAAAGTGCTGGGATTACAGGTGTGAGCCACTGGGCCCAGAAGAGTTTCAGTTTCTTCTTCGCTCTCCCCTCAGGATGTTGTCCATGTTGGAACTTTCCCTCCAATCTAATGGCCAGGATTCCCTGTCTCCCAACTTCCCACCTCCTAAATGACTGTGCAAGAAAAAGACTTTATATAACAGGATGGGGATGGAGAAGAGGGACTGAACTCTATTCAGTGAAGTGCTGCTCTGCATGGCTTAGAAGGGTGGGGCCCCACTGGGCTTGGTGGCTCAAGCCTGTAATCCCAGCGCTTTGGGATGCCAAGGCAGGCGGATCACCTGAGGTCAGGAGCCTGGCCAACATGGCGAAACCCCATCTCTACTAAAATAAAAATTCAAAAATTAGCCGGGTGTGGTGGTGCGTGCCTGTAATCCCAGCTACTCAGAAGGCTGAGACAGGAGAATCCCTTGAACCTGGGAGGCGGAGGTTGCAGTGAGCTGAGATGGCACCACTGCCTTCCAGCCCGGATGATGAAGCAAGACTCCATCCCCCACCAAAAAAAAAAAAAAAAAAAAAAAGGGGGGGGGGGCCCAGAGGGATAGCCCGTCCCTGACTCATCAATGACCTGCAGGCCCTTATGGCAAAGCCTCCTGGGACCCTTGAGATAACTTCTGCACCCTTTAGATGCCTTTTTACTCTTCTCCAGACATCAGAATTTGGTGGCCCACACCCACTACCTGATGCTTAGGACCTCCTGCCCCACCCTTCTAAGCCATGCAGAGCAAACCAGTCTTCTGACTGAGTTTTTACTTGGCAAGTCTGCACACACATGGAGTGGCTGCAGAGCCCACAGGAAAAGCTGCCCCGGCCAAGCCCTGGCCTCCACCTTAATCAATCCCTGGGCCCTTGTTCTCCACCCCACAGCCCTGTGCTTCAAACTTGCTCCTGTTGCCATAAGAGGACATGACACCCCTAGTTCCAGCCCACCTCCTTAGGCTCAGCCTGGGCCCCAGTGCTATTTTCCTACTGTTTATCCACGTAGTTCCTGGGATAGGATCCTCAGCTCTGCCTGGAAGTTAGTGCTGTGTGCACACACATGAACCAGGAGCCATACACCCTCTCACAACTGGCTGTGCCCAAAAGGATGATCAAGCCCAGACCTTGGCCAGCAGCGGTGACCTGCTTCTCCAGGAAGCACTGCTCAGGCCACCATCAGGAGAGTGCAGCAGCAACAAAGGCAAGCCAGACAGCCCAGAGGCATCACCCTACGTTTTGCCACATTTCTGAGACTCAAACTGGGTTGCTGTGAAGATCGGATGAGATGAGCCATGTTAGGTGTTTAGAACAGTGCCGGCATGACAACGTAAATATCGGCCGTTATTTCACTCCTTTCTCCCCATTTTCTTTGCTCCACTCTACCACACTCCCGTCTGGTACCCCAACAGCCAAGCCTACCGTCGGGGTCTTTGCATGTGCCCATGTGCCAGCTCTGCTCTTCCCTATCTTCTTCACCTGGCACACTCTGATTCGTGTCTCTGCCAAGATGCCTTCCTTGACGCCTGGGACCATGTAAGGTCCACCTACCCTTCACCAACAGCAACAAGCGCAACCACTTGCTCAACTTCTCTCAGGCCCCCTCAGCTGCAAGCTACATGAAGACAGGGATTGGCTCCACCAGCACTGCCAAGCCGCTGTGCTAGGGCTCTCAACATTCAGCAGATGTGCCTGGGATCTAAAAACATCCACAGTTCCTCAACTGTAACTGCCAAATCCAAGAAGCACTAAAACACAGAAGTTTTCTAAACTCAATTGGCAGTAAAACCTCATCCAGCCTCATTTGGTAAAATCTGATCTGATCTAATATGGGGCTATTTATAGTCTTTTCTCTCTCCTGCTGTGGCTATTCATACATTTTGCTACAGAAATAAACATGGTGGCTTATGCCATGCTGCTTCTGATCTTCCACTACAGAGTAAATTCACCAGATCATCTTTTCAAAATCCAAAAAATTCTCAATTCTGAAATACATCTAGGACCAAGAACTTCAAAACTATGAAAATGGAAGTACAAAGTTACTCATTGACTGCTAGCATCCCATGTCAAGCCCTCCAGCCCTTTAACCTGAACTCATTCCTTCGTAGGAAACACTGTTTTAAGTCTGGACTCTTGATGTAGTTTCCCAGCTGGTCCACCTGTCACTAATCTTGCTTCCCTCTCACAAACCTTCCCAACAGCAACAGCGCATCCTTCCTGACAAGTACACCTGGTCACGACATTAACTTGCTTTAAAAACCATCAGAGGCTGCACTGCCCACAAACTCAAACTCAAACTCATTATGATGACATCCAAAGCCCTTCAGACAGACTGTCTGAAACATCCCTTTTCAACCTTACCTCCAACCACTAACCCCATGGACCCTGCACTCTGGCCTCAGCAGGCTGCTTTTTCCCCAGTAAGCATATACCTGGACGCTGCTGTGTCTCTGCTCCAGCTGGTCCCTCATCCTGGAATTTGACCCACAGCGCCACCTGCCAGCCACCCACACATCCTTTCAGGCCACTTCAGGTGACTCCTTCTGTAACATCACAGACAGAGCCAGGCCTCCCTATGACTACACTCCCACAGCACTCTCTCCACGCTGTAACAGAATCTGTGGCCACGCTGACCTGACTCCCACCTTCCTCCTTAGGAAAAAAGACTCTATGACCTCTGTGCCCACCACAGTGCTTGGCACATGTATGAGGTTCAAGTGGCTGGATGGAAGACTGCTTGCACTATTACCGAAATCAGGGAGAAAGATGGCCAACGCAGCAGCAAGAGAGTGAAGTGTGACATTTTCCAGAGATGACCGCACATATCCCATTCCATATGCTCTTCTTACAAGTGATAAAGACACTCCTGCCTCCAGAGCTGAGGGTCTATGTTCCCTCCCTTTGGTTCTGGGAAGAGATGCTATGTGACTTGTGAGACTAACTCATAAAAGGCAGTAGTTTCCACCTGGTCCTCTTAAGATGCTGACTCCTAGGACCCTGCTATATGGACAGGACACTGCTACATGGACAGGACCCCCATAGGTATTCCAACTGACCACCCCAGCTAAGGTCCCAGCTGACAGCCAGCATCAACCGCTAGACACAGGAGACAGCCCTCCAGATTATCCCAGCCCCAGCTGACTGCAATGGCGTGAAAGACCACAAGCAAGAACCACATAGCTGAGATGTTAATAAAATGATTCTGTTGTTGTAAGCCACTAAGTTCTGGGGTGACTCATTATGCAGCCATCAGTACCTGAAGCAATGAGAGAAACAGACTCTAGATAATCTTGACAAGCAGGGCAAGTGCCCTCCCTGCCCTCTGTGCTCAGCTCCAAGTCCAAACACTGAGGCCCTGTCTCCACTCATGTCTCCTTCCTTAGTAGGTATCTACTCCTGCATAATAAATTACCTCGATATTTAGTGGCTTAAAACAATAGTTATCACTTACTCCTCACAGTTTCTATTGGTCAGAAATGTGGACAGTGCAGCACAGAGGAGATGACGTGTCTCTGCTCCACTATGCCTGAGGCCTTGCTGAAAGACTCAAAAGCTGAGGGCCAGATGCCCCTAGAGGCTCTCACATTCTCTCACATGTCTGTAGGATGATGTTGGCAGCAGCTGAGACCTTATCAGCAGGAGTGCTCACTAGAACCCCTCTATGTGGCCTGGAAATGTCCTGGAAGTGGTGGCTGCATTCCAAAGGTGAGTGTTCCAAGAAAGCGGGCAAGCCAGGTGAAAGTGTATCCTGTTCCTGATTCAGCCTTGGATCAGGTCTGTCTTACTCACTGGTCAAGGGAACCACAAGTCCCTATTGACATGCAAGGGGAGAGAATCATAAACCCCACCACTAGGTGGGAAGTGGACAATGTCAAACTATAACTACATGTGGAAGGGGATACTTACGGGTGAGGCCCTTGAGGGAAAATACAATCTGCTACACCTTCCTTTTTAAATAGAACAACTGCCCTTAATCCTGACCTGAGTTCCTAATGATGTCATTTATGAGACTGGCATGCAAGGCACAGACTCAAAACTGGCTTTGACTTTCTAGAGTTTTCACAACTCCTTTAGGGAGGTGACACAGCCAATCCACACCACCAGGTACAAAGACATCTGCACCATGGTGGGAGATGAGAAGTGAGTCTTTTCAGTACAAAACCCTTCAGCTAAAACCGAGGTGGCTCTGGGTAGGCGCCACCTGCCCCTATGGGGCTCACTCAGTTTCTGAAGCATTTGAAGGACTGCCTAGGAGCTGTGAGATCCTTTCTAACACTCTGATACCATGGTGTTCTCCAGCCTATTTCCTTTATCTGGCAAAAAATGTTTCTTAAATAGCAAGTGAACACCAGATAGTCAACTTCCAATCATGAGCAATAAGCGAGAAGTTATATTTAGCTGTAAAATTAAGTACAGAAGTGGAAGAAATGGTAACAGATTTTCCCTTCTATCTCTGCTTTGCTTAAAGTTAAAAAGCACTACGTAAAAATTCCAGAAAATATAGACATGTCACAGGTAATGGAACTCTAACTGAACTGCTTTCATGTTCGTTCTTAGACCTTGGCTGGACTCCTGTATCATGTACCAGGCCCATAATTTCAGGACGGAAAAAAAAGAAAGGTAGTCAGAGAAGATACACTAAATAATTCAAGAGTTGAGAGAATAAGACCTAGGAGGGAAGGGATGCAGGTTATTCATCCTGGAAAAGAAGAGCTAAATACAAGTGCCACAAAAGGCATGAGGCCTGGGATTCAGGCGATCCAGCCAGCAAGCCAGGCAACTTTGGACAAGTCACTTGACCCACTTGTACCTTAGTTCTCTCATCTATAAGGTGACAGGGTTGATTTGGTTCATCACAAGGTCCCACTGCCTGGATACTGACGACAGTGACAATTTCCCTACTGCCCCGAACAGTAATGAGTTTCCCTTGTTAACACAGGCCACTGAGGTCAGGCATACCGCAGTGCTTCTAACAGTGAGAATGAGACACAGAAGCAGGGAAATGGGTGAGCTCAATGGTCCCCAGAATTGGGAAGGACCAGGACGCAGTGATTGCTGATGGAAGGCAGATCCTGGATGATGTGAGCACGTAAGAGCAAAGGCTACACGGCCTGAAAAAATACCGTAAATGACTGAAAATAAAGCTGGGCAACATCTCAGCCAGTGATGTTCTAAAACAAAACGGCAGACCCACTACAGCAGCAAGGGTTAACCAAAGTGAAGCTTCAGCCTTCAGGGAGCCGGCCAGCCACAGTCCCTCTACTTCAGAGTTTATCAGACGCGGGCACTGCACGTCCCGGGGCTCTCTACTCCACACACGTTAGCAAACAGGAAGAAAAGTTTTCTTGCCAACTTATTATATATATATTTCAACACTGAATCAACATTTCCTTTCTGCTGAGGAGAATCAGCCTCTATTAACTTGGGGAAAGGATGCTGGAGTGAGGTTAGGGGGGAAAGGCCACTCCCCAATCCCACCCCCTCCCTGCCCCGCACGCACGGACGCCCGGGGCCGAGTTTCACAACATCCTCCCCAGTCCGCGGAGCCCGCCCTTCCTCTAACAGCTGGAGGCCCGGGATTCCGAAAGCAGAAGGCGGAGTTCCAACCTCTCGGCTCGGGAAGGGACTAACGCGCAGCTGGCACCGGGTCGGACCGGGCCGCTCCCCAGCCAAGCCCCCTCTCGCTAGCACTCATGGGCACCGGGGCTTTGGGGCGACCCGACGTCCCTTGGGCTCCCTCTCGGCGCCCGCGAGGCCTCCCCCGGTCTGACCTCCGTCCCCGGACACCTACTCACCAGGTCCTCCCGACGTCCTGGCCCCGAACTTGGCCTGCTCCGGGGCGCAGGGAGCGAGCCCGGTGCCCAGGCGCGTCCCAAGCGCTGCCGCGGCCGCCTCGCCTTTCGACTCGCCAGCCCTTTCTGCGGCGCGCCGGGGCCGGACGGCCGGGCGGGCAACGTGGCCCTTCCCCGGCAGGCGGGGCGGGGCGGGGCGGACTGAGGGGCGTGACCGACAGCCCCGCCGCGCCCCGCCCCCCGGCCGGCGTCCGCCAGGCCCCCTCCTCCTGGCCCGCCTCCTTTCCCCGCCGCTTCTCAGTCAACCCAGGACCCAAGTTTTCCCAGGACCCCAACTTCGGGAGTCGGCTTTCCGGCTCCCTGGCGCAACCCTGAGGGTGGACGCCCGACCCCACCCCTGCCCTCGGCCCTCCAGCGCAGCTGCCCAGCCTGGAGCCGCGCCTGAAGTGGGCCCGCAGTCCAGGAAAGGCGTTCACCAAACCCTAGGCCAAGGGCTGGGAGCCAGTCCCCCCACCCCAACCCAGGGGAGGCTGAGGAGCCCGGGTGGGAGCCCCAGGGTCGCGTGGGGCAGGGACAGAACAGGAACCAGGGTGCCCGACGGGGGGCCGGGGGGAAACACCTGTGCCAAAGCAAGCCGGGGCCAGCTGTGGCTTCTTCCCTTTTGTTTTTCCTTGGTGGGTGGGGAATGAGAGCTTCAGTTCTGAGTAAAGAAAGCGAAGAGAGACCTACCAGCAGGGGAGGCCCACCAGCCCTAGGCGGGAAGGACTCGGTCACAAGCTTTGGCGGAAGCACCATGGAAAAGCCTAGAACGGGTCTGCGCCCGGCTGGTGTTTTAAAGGGGAGGAAGGTGCGGACCTGAAGAGGAGGTGGAGGTGGACCCAGGCCCACCGAGGGGAGGGAGGGACAGCTCTTCCATAGCAAATACCTGTCGCTGAGCCAGGAGTAAAGTCTGGCCGGGAGGAGGACAGACGCAGAAGACCAGGGGCTCCAGCGCACAGAGCCAGTTTCGCCAGCGATCAGGTCTGAGGCCTGGATTCCACGAGGCCGGTGCAAGCCAGGAGCCAGCCCCACTCCCTCGCCCAGCTCCCTCCGGCCTGGCCCTCTGCAGAAGCCTGATGCCCACCCAGCTGTCTCACCATGGGACCCCAGGCGGTGAGGGTGGGTAGCCGAGGACTACAGGCTGCTGGGTAGCTGACTTCCCCAAGAAGGGCTGCTGCCATGTGATCAGGACCCACGCCCCTGACATCAACCCCTCCCCCGTGTTCCAGAGCACGGAGCAGCCCGGAACTCTGCGGCCTGTGGTTACTGACTGACTGCTCACTAACTTGTTTCTACATGAAACCACGAATCGTGCAGGGTTCTAGAGAAACAAAGGGCCGCGCGCACCCGCAGGCCCCTGCGTGGAGGCGAGGACCTAAATCAAAACTGCTAAGGGGTCACCAGGCATGGTGAGGGGCCTCACGGGCCAAACCCTCCCTCGGCCTGTCCTTCAAGCCTCAGCAGCTCTGCGGAGTGAGCGTTATCATCCCCATTCTACAGATAACTAGTTTGAGGCTCAGGGTAAGTGCAAACGTGCTGCAAGCCACCAGACCTGGTGGGGAGCATAGCCAGGTTTTAGACCGGGCACTCCTGTGCGCCCCCCAACACCCCCGCACACATCCTCCAGCGCCAGTGCTTTGAGAGGGCTCTGTCTCCTCTCAGGCGCTGCCGTGAAGCCTCCGCTTAAGTGGCCAGAGCCCAGACCTGGAGGTGGAGTGGGAGAAGGGCAGGCCCACCGAGGCCGCCGTGTGCAGTGTGCGATGTGCGGGAAGCCCGTGGCTTCCACTTTAGCTGACTGCGCGCACTGTGGCAGGAGCCTCGAACCCAGGCGGATATGCCAGTCAGAGGCCAGTGTCTGTCACCTCTGCCCTATGTTTGCCTAATGGAGGAGTCAGGGGCCTGGGGGCTCTGCACACTCACACTAGGTGTCAAGGCGTAAAGGAAAAAACAATTGTGTTTCCTAAAAGTGAAAAGGCTGGGAAACACTGGTTTGTAGATCCAAGACATGAGGAGCCAAAATCACCTTCCAGGAGAAAGGACAGACATCAGGGGGTGCTGAAAGGTGGGGGAAGATCAGATTCCCACCACTGACCCTGATACTTCTCCATCTAAGGCAGGTGAAGGGGAAACAGGATGGCGGCTGTTCGTGCACTGTAACGCACACCCCATCTCTACCACCCTTGGCTGAAATCCCAAGGCTCACAGGAAGATCCAAAAGGAGAAATTCCCGGACTGCAAGAGACCATCCCAAAAAGAAAGGGCCTGGTTAGGGAATCAGAATGGGCTTCATGGAGGCAAAAGCAAGCACTTGGTCTGAGAGGCAAGAAACCAGGGTAAATGAGTGCCAAACTGACCTGGGGAAAAGAGGCTCTGAGCTCTTGATAGAGGTTACATGGGGAGCAGTGACTGGAGTAAGAAGGATAGAAACAAGGGGCCAGGATTCTGGGGGTGGGCCTGGGATTGGATTATGTGCAAAAGGAAAAAACAGGAGGATAAACAGTCACAAGATTAGACCAGATTATCCAGGAGGATAAACAGTCACAAGATTAGGCAGAGGAACAATACTCTCCCCTGCCCACTCCACCACTGACAAAAGAGAACTGAAAAGATGAAAAGGAAGTGAAAACTGTTCCAGGAAACTGCCCTCCCATAAACCATGCCCAAGATCCCTGACACTTTTTACAATTTGGAAAGAATTCATGCCCTTAAATTAAAACATATGTTGGCTTGAAAACATCAGTAAAAGTAAAAGCAGGCTGGGCGCAGTGGCTCACGCCTGTAATCCCAGCACTTTAGGAGACCAACGCAGGCGGATCACGAGGTCAGGAGTTTGAGACCAGCCTGGCCAACATAGTGAAACATCGTCTCTACTAAAAATACAAAAATTAGCCAAGTGTGGTGGCATGCACCTGTAGTCCCAGCTACTCGGGAGGCTGAGGCAGGAGAATTGCTTGAACCTGGGAAGCGGAGGTTGCAGTGAGCAGAGACCATGCCACTGCACTCCAGCCTGGGTGACAGAGTGAGATTCCATCTCAAAAAAAAAAAGTAAAAGCAAATTTTTTAAATCAGTGTTTTGTTTCCCTTCTCCCTGCCTCCTAATATCTCTGCTTGCCCCTCTCCCTCACCCCACAATGGAGACCCAGAAATTCATCTCATCCAGGTCAAAGAGGAAAGATTAACATAATAATCACTAAACAATGTCTGTGAAATGTAACTTTTGGTTAGCCACCTACAATTCTTTTTGGAATAAAGAAGGATATAAATAATTAATTGAGTTAAAATACACACACGGCCGGGCACCGTGGCTCATGCCTATAATCCCAGCACTTTGGGAAGCTAAGGCAGACAGATCACAAGGTCAGGAGATTGAGACCATCCTGGCCAACATGGTGAAACCTCATCTCTACTAAAATACAAAAAATTAGCCGGGCGTGGTGGCGTGTGCCTGTAGTCCCAGCTACTTGGGAGGCTGAGGCAGGGGAATAGCTTGAACCCAGGAGGTGGAGGTTTCAGTGAGCCGAGATCGCACCACTGCACTCCAGCCTGGCGACAGAGCAAGACTCTGTCTCAAAAAAAAAATGCACACACAGTCTGGTTAAGTCTATCACTGCTCCTGGCTAAGTAGCCTGACACCTGCTGAGTGCTATGCCTTGGCATCCTGGTGCCCATGTGAAAAAGCCAATGGTTGTCTTGAAGGGACTGTCTCATGGAAGGGTCAGGTGCAGGGCAGGAGGGTGGGAAGGTCAGGGAGAGGAATGCTTGCTCACTCTAAGGAGGAAACGTTCTACCAGAGAGGCTGTCTGGCAGGGCACAGAGCTTCTCTCCCTGGAGGTTTGCAGCAGAACCCAGATGGCCTGGTCAGGTCAGATGCTGTGGAAACAGCACAGCACTGGGAGGTGATTTCAGTGCCTACCGCTCTACCCTTAGGCAAACCCTTCCCACTCAGGGCTTCCGTAGCTTCCCCTCAAACTGGGAAAAGAATCCCTGCTCTGTTCTCCTCACAACAAAGTGGTGAGGGAAAACAGACAAAACAGATTGACTGGATCACGTGATAGAAGCATTACGCAAATACGCAACTCCCTGGTACCTGGGATACCAGAGATGGCTGAGGAGGCACCGTGGCATCACGTATCCCCGAGGGATCACTGTGACCCCTGTGTCTAAGCAAAGACTGGCAACAGAAATTTGCTGGGTGAAGCTGGGGAAGGTGGTACACCCATCTTGAGACCCACACCTTATAAAGGAGCAGCCTGGCCTCAAAGGGGCTGCCCCAGGCACCAGACCAGAGGAGAAAGTACAGCTCGGGAGCAGCAGCTCCACCCAGGCCACTGCCCACCTCTCAAGCCGCTGGAGGGAGTGAGGAAAACTCCTGTGGCAAAAAAGGAAAGACTGGGGAAGGGGATGGAAGAAAAAAATTTAACATGGAAAGTAAGGCATAAGTACAGGATTTTCAGTTTGCAGATGACCTCACTGTCACCCATCCTCAAGGAACATGTGAGGCCTAGGTGTTACTGAGCTAGGGAGAGGCAGAGACATGCCAGAAGCCAGGCCTCCTGCCCTTTGCCCAGGCCACCATACCCTACTGTCTCTCAAAATTCCCAACACTGTGCTCTACCCCTCCTTTCTGCTGTGTGTTGTCCCTGGGAAAAGCAGGCATCTTGGCACAGGTAAATTGGAATTGAAGGAGGGAGCAGACAGGAAGTGAGAAGATAAAGACAAACAGGGCTGCTTTTATAGGGAATACAGCCTGAGAAAATACAAAGGGCGAAGAGATGTCTGGAAAAAAACGTCATCTTAAGGAGCGGGAGAGATAACTAGCATATGGCACAGGAAGGTAAAGACCACCACTCACTCCAAGAAAAGTGCCTAGCCAGACACCTGCCCTCAAGGCTTAAGCATCCTTCCACCCCCTCTTTAATCAGCTACCTCAAAGGGGCACACTGAAATTGGACTGGAGAGCCATAAGGGCCAATGCAGTATCTGCAAGACTCCTTCAATCCAAGTTCTCCTTGGATCTATTCACCTGTTCTACAACTTGATGATCCCAAGTACTGTTTACCAACAAGATGATGAAACACATTCAGGGGCAGGCTTTTCACTAAGGACATCTTCTTAGGCTGTTGCCAGCACACTATTTCAAGAAGAAAACAGAACTCCTGACTCAGAGTTGTTTCTGTGCTTTTAAGGCACGTAGAGCAACATCGATGTTATTGTTTCCTGTGTACACGGCCCTGGATACTTTTCAAAATCCTTGTTTCATTTGCTCCTCGTAACAACTTGTAAGGGACCTGGAAAGTCAGTTTTCCCCCATTTTGTAGGTGAAGAGAACATGGCCTGTGTAGGGTTGTACACTGACTCAAAAAGTCAAAGCTAGAACACAAGTACTCCTTCCTGACCCCCAAACCTGTGTTCTGTTCCTCTGCTCTTTTCCCGAGCTTTCATGGGCTAAGCTCCCCTTATAGAAGTAGGAAGGGAGACAACTTAGGAGGTTATCTAGACCATTCCCGCCTTCTCCCCCCACCAGCAGTCCTTTTCAGTTAGCTCCCCAAAACAGAGCAGCTGCCTCTGCCTAGGTAATCCATTCCAGTCTTAACCCAGACTGACTTGGAATCCTATTATCTCAGTGTTGGAAGGGCCTTTAAAGGTAATCTAATCCAACCTCCCTTCAGAAGTCTTCAATTATTATCATGTTCTCCTTGGCCTAACCTCACAACTGCCATTGCTCACAATCCCTTACAAGGCACTCATCCAGCTTGGGTAAGGGGAAGTTGGGAACAAGTCTATACCTGGACAGAGTAATGGAGAGGTGTAGCTTCCAGTGTACTCATCTGGATAAGATTTCCTGAATAGTAGCCTCCGCGAACTCGCCAGCTCAACACCTTCTGCACAGGCACAGCAAGACATTAAGTGGGAAATGAGACAGGAGCCTTACCTTTCTTCTCTTGTCTCAGTTGCTCTCCAGGAGATCATCAAATCCCCATTCAGCACTCCATTTTCAAAACTGAGAATCCCAAATCAGATCCACCAAAGTGCAGCTTCTCTCTTCTTATCCAGGTCCAAAGTCCATGGCTGAGCTGACCCTGACGGGGAGGAGTCTGGGGGGGAAGGGGTGTGTCCAGGCCCCTCCCCCCCCACTGCAGACTTCAGTGCCCCTCTCAGGGGTCCGTTACCTCCCTTCATTCAGCTGCCTTATTAAGCTCAGAGTCTGGTGATGGACAGATCCCAGATACTATCCCATCTCTTGCTCAGGCAGGGGAAGTTATCCACTGTGAGAACTGGCCCATCTGTCTTGTGCTGGGGCTCATGAGAAGAAACAGGCCTTAGAAGCGGCATGGCCCAGGAGGCAGATTTCTGTGTTAACCTGCAGAACATTTAAACATTATAACGCTCTCTAATCTAGATACCCAAATAGAGTCCTAAAACCTTCTAGTTTCCACTCCCCACCTAAGAGTCCATACTAGGCTCTATCATCAAAACACCTTCGTTAAACACTCCGCAAGGTTATACAAAGCACCTACTTAACTCACGTATCACACGCCAGAACACAGTCACCTCATCAATAGTGTTTACATATATAAACACATATAATATAAACATATTATATGTATGTACAAACATACATGATTCAGGATAAAAGATGGATCGTACCCGTTCTCACCACAGAAAAGTAACCGGAGACTCTTCTAAGAAATCGAGAAAAGAACGCCCTTTCTCCTGCCCTCCTGTCTAAAGCGCAACATAATAATCGAATCTCCCAAGCTTCTTAGGGTGCTGAGTGTTTTAATCCACCAGCCCTCTTCAACTAGTTAATAAATCCTTTCCAGACCGAGATGCTGGCATCTTCCACTTGCATTCTTTGCTCCTTTAACTAAGCTCCCCCTCTGCTTGCAAAACTGTGCCAGAGATGTAATTCCCAACCTCTGTTAAAGTCCTTCCCGGGGCTACTCCCGAGAACACTCTCCTGGAATGTTTAAGGCCCAAGTCCTGCTTGCAGCAGCCCCACAGTGTTCCCATTTCTCAGCCCGAAAACCCACCCCTGTTGCCCCCTCCCCTCCAAGTTTATTCGTAAACACACACACATCCATTCTCTCTCTCAACACACATCCATCCACACACACTCTCTCTCTCCTTTCCTTCCTGTAGGGGCGTGGCGTCCACATGACCTCCACCCCCTCCAAGAATTTAACTCCTCCCACCCTTCTCCCCGGAACCCCGTGCCCCGTGTTCACAAGAGAAGAGGGTGACACTGCGACCCTTCCTGGACTCTGACCCCCACCCGTCCGCCCTGCGGACGACCCTCGCTCTAACTGCGCCGGGTCGTTACCTGGTTCCCGCCCGCCCCGTCTCGGCTAGGAGCCGCGGCCCGCCGCGGGTCGCAATCCAGGCCCCAGGCCCGATCCCCAGCGCTGGCCCAGGCCCCACCCCCTCGACCCCCAGCGGCCCGGCCCTCCCCTCGCACTCCTTCCCCCCTCCCACCATCCACCGCAGCCACTTCCGCCCGTCCTCCGGAAGTGGGCCCCGGCAACGCAGCGTTCCACATCCCGCCCATTTTTCTACCCAACGTCCCCAGCCCGTCACCACCGCCACCACGGGAGCGAGGGAGGTGGGTCTGCAGGGCCTGAGACTGTTCTACAGCCACTGTTCACAGGGCTGAAGAACAGGTGTGGGCAGAACCAGGTTGTGAGAAGGAAGCCGGGCGCAGAGTAGCGGCCGTACAGGAGGGGGAGGGGCAGAAGAGACTGGCCAGCAGCGGAAGCGCGCGGCAGGTGGAGCCGCGCGGGAAGAAGCACGCATGCGTCGCGGGGGGGTTGGCCCTTGGGGTGCTGGGCGGAGCTTGGGAGGGGCGAGGACGCTGAAGTAGGGGCGGAACCTGTGCGGTGCAGCCCTGCCCTCTCCCTCCGCCCAAAGGTCGCCCAGCGACGGCCTGCTTGACCTGGTTTCTCAAAAAGGGTGACCCCCCCCCTCCGCCCCACGCTGGTCGCGGGTCCTGGCGAGAAGCCTTTCGGAAAGCACCGGGGCCTGTGTGTTCCCGCTTCCTCGGACGCGAGCTCTGTGTAGCCGTGGTGGAGGAAGGTTTTGTTTCGTTCATCGCTGCTGTTTCTCGCTGCCTCTCTTGACGAGGCAGGGCCCTTGCAGGGTGCGCCCGCGCTGCCCTCTGACAGGTGCTGTTGGTACCTGCGGCCGGGCCCGCCGTCGCCGGCGCGTGAACGGCCTGCCCGAGGCTGCCGGGAGGAGGGCTGCCTGGCCGGCGCGGCCCTTCCCGTCGTGCCCCGGGCTCCTCGGAAGCAGCCTCCCGCTCCTTCAGACGTCGGACTCCTGAGTTTCGAACCTGCCCCGCGGTTTCCCCCTCACGCTGAATCCAGGGGAGCCGCTACTCGTTTTTGAAGTTCCTATGCAGCCCTCTCCCGACATGTTCGAGAATCTTGCCGGACTGGGGATGGATTTGCAGCCTCCGTGTTTGCCCCCACGGTTCGAAAACCGGAATCTAGGCCCGGTCTCCTGGCCTGTGTTCTGTCGTGGGATTTCTCCAGAGCACGGACTGACTTAACATTTCCATTACTGGGAATGTAATGGTTGCTGCGTCAGGACTCTGGAGATGATTTTTTTATTTGGAACGATATAATTTTTGGAATTTCCTTAAAGGGAAAAATACATATTGCTTAATTATATTGCTTGGGATATATTATTGCAAGGAAGAAGAAAATAAGACCCTTTCTTCCCCCACCTTCAAACCTTCTCCGCCCACCTGTCTTTCCCATGGGCATTAATGGCGGCTCCATTTACTCAGGCCAGAACCAGAAGAGCCAGCTTCACTCTCTCACCCCCTCTACACAATCTGACTAGAAATCCTGTTGACCCTACCTTCAATCTGTGTCTAGGATGCAACACCTCAACATGTCCACACCCCCCTTCATCCCTCACCTGAACACCTAGGTCTCCCTGCCCTCCCTACCCTCCCAGTCGCTGGGTTTCCGTACAGCAGCCACAGGGATCCTGTCGTTTCTGTGCTCCAAACTGCACAGCGGCTCCTCAGTTTACTTGAAATAAAACGCCAAAGTCCTTACAATGGCTGCAGAGCCGGACAACCCACTGGCCTGCCTAGCTGTCTGACCTGCTCTCCCCTTCCTCTGTTAGCTGCATTGGCCTCTGCACCGGCTGTTGTCTATTTGTAAAACACCCCTTCCAGGCATTTCCAGGACTGAACCCTTCAGCTCTTTCAAATCTTTCCTCCCATGTCACCTCAGTGAGGCCTTTCCTGACCAACCTGTTTAAACCTGCCCCTGACCCAGAGCACTGCTAGTCTCCCTTGGCCTGCTCCACTTTTCCCAGGACGCTCACCACTTCCTGAAATACTCGCCGGGTTTACCATGTATTGTCTGTCTCCCACTACTAGAATTTAAGTTCCCTGAGTGGAGGCACATTTGATTTTTGATTGCTATATCCCGGTGGCTGCAACAGTTGGCTGGCCCATGGTAGCAGCTCAGCACACATTTGTGGAATAAATGAACCAATGAATGAACTTGAAAAGCTACTTTCACCGCAGAGTATTCCCCTTCGGGCTTCTCTCACATGGAAATATATGAACATAGGTATAAGCACAGTATACAGATTTTGCATTATGATTTCTAATCATACCATAGAGACTTTACATATTTCTAAGTATTTTCATAATTATAACCATTTTTACTTAAGTGACCTTCGATTTTTCGTGCTTGTTATAACAAGTCATACAGAGTTGTGTAAATAAAAATTTGTCTCCTGTCCCCCTCTCATCCCACCCTGCTGAAAGGAACCACTTTTAAACTAGTGGATATCTTTCCAAATATTTTTTATACACACGCACACACACACAGGCACACACACACACACATACATAACAGGTACAAATTTCACAGTCCAAAGACAGATATTCCTGAATTGTAACTTTATTTTCTATAATTCGAGTCAATTTGTATTTTAGGTCTTTCCTCCCATAGTAGAAAAATGAAATCTAGTTTATTTAAGGTAAATGTTAGTATGTAATGATGTTTATTTATTAATGAGCAATTACAATTTAATTTCAGTTGCTTCAGAATTTACTAATGCCCTTCTCTCCTTTTCACCATATAATTGCCGGTTTTAAAAAATTATTAAAAAATATGCAATAATTACAGGAAAATATAAATGATAAAATAAAAAAGCAAAAACCACCTGTAAAACCAGCAGCTAGAAATAAGTTTATGAAAAATATACTTCTATGGCATTTTTAATGACCAAGTGGCATACTATTATACAAATGTACCATAATTATCTCCCCTATTTTTGTACATTTGGGTTGTTTTCAACTTTTCACTTTTGCAAAATTACTTGTAGCTAAATCTGTGTGCACGTCATTTTTTTTTTTTTTAGGATAAAGTCTGGGAACTCGTGTCGAAAGGTGTGCTCATTGTTGAAGGCGTTTGTTTGATATGAAAGATACACAGAAAGATGGCACAGCTTTGACACCAACTTTTCTCCACACCCTGCACTGTCACACCATTTTTTGTCATCTTTGTTAATATGATAGAACGATGGTTTTGCATTGTTGTTTTAAGTTTTATTCCACTAATTGCTAGTAATGTTGAACCTGTTTTTATGCATCACTTTTGCAGATTGCCTACAGCATATCTTTTGCCCACTTGGATTCATCTTTGTCTTATTCATTTGCAAGAACTCTTTATAGAATATCAGCCCTTTGTTACCTATGTTACAGCAATTTTCCCAGTTTGTCATTTGCTTTTTAAGTCTGTTTATGTGCTCTTTTGACATTGCAGTAGTCACCGCTAGCTGGGCCAAAAGTCTGGTCTTGCTGTACATACTGCCTTCAGAATAAACACTTAGGAGTAAGCTAGAGATTTTTGTTATCAGTTACTCCACCTAGAGGACCAGCAGGTGGAGTCTCCATGGGCAGAGTCTCGCGGACTGTCATTTGGTGTGGGGTGGCCAAGAGGGACTGAACATCTGGAGAACATGGTTGTCGGGCTCTTTATACCAGTGGACCCCTCTTTCCTATGGAAGCCTCGCATCTCCATCAGAAGCAGCAGTAAAATGGCCTCTGCTGTCTTCTGCCTTTCAAGTCTAACTCAAGGGCACCTGAGTAGGTGAACCTAATTGCAAGGGAGTTAGATATGTAACCTATTCAACTAGAAAGAAGGTAGCCAGAGGGGCTACCTACAGTCCCCACCAAACTTATGTATCAGGGCTTCCCATCCTGGCTGTTGAATTACCTATTCTGGCAGCTGTTCCAGTCAATACAGCTGATAGTAAATTTTAATAACTGGCAGTAAAAGTCTTCCCCAGTAACCCTGATTTTCAATGTTTTGTTGGCCATTTTCACACATTTTTTCAGGTGTATATTTTTTCACACTATTTGTTCAGATGATCATTGTAATTCATTTCAGAAACTAGATATCTCTTGTAATTTCCTGGGCTTCTCCTTACCCTGGCGAGTATTCTTTGTACCGATTTTAGTCTGAAGTCTGGTAGGTACAAAAGTTAGTTTGTGTATTTGCTATTTGTTAGGTGCCCTTCATCCTGGTATTTAAAATTCTGGCCCATAAAGAAACAACCACACTCACTTGTTCCCTCAATCTTATTGTGCCTCTTGGCAGCTTCTGACATTGTCAACCGCTCCCTTCTTCTGACACACTTCTCTTGACTCCCACGCCAGCACGCTCTCTGGGGTTCCCCCTCCTCTGGCTGCTCCTCCTCAGCATCCTAGCAGGCTTCTCCCTTTTCTCTCTTTACCCACCACTTGCTGTACAAATGCGGAGTTCCCTAGGGCTCTTTCCTGGGCCCTTGTGTCTTCTCATTTTACACTTTCTTTCGAGATGATCCCACAGAAGTCACATGGCTTCCAGTATCCACTCCATGTCAAAGATACTTAGTCTGTTTCTATTGCTTATGACAGAATATCTGAAACTGGGGTCGGGTGCAGTGGCTCACGCTTGTAATCTCAGCACTTTGGGAGGCTGAGGCGGGTGGGTCATGAGGTCAGGAGTTGAAGACCAACCTGACCAAGATGGTGAAACCCCATCCCTACTAAAAATATAAAAATTAGCCAGGCGTGGTGGCAGGTGCCTGTAATCCCAGCTACCCCAGAGGCTGAGGCAGGAGAATCGCTTGAACCCGGGGGGGCGGTGGTTGCAGTGAGCTGAGATCGCGCCACTGCACTCCAGCCTAGGCGACAGAGTGAGACTCTGTCTCAAAAAAAAAAAAAAATTAAAAATTAAAAACAAGGAATATCTGAAACTGGGTAATTTATAAGGAAAGGGAATTTATTTCTTACAGCTCTGGAGGCTGAGAAGTCCAAAGTTGAGGGGCTGCATTTGGTGAGAGCCCTCTTGATGGTAGGAACTCTCTGCAGAGTCCTGAGGGGTTCAGGGCATGACATGGCAGGGGGACTGAGCGTGCTAAGGTGCTAGCGCAGGTCTCTCTTCCTCTCTTATAAAGCCGCCAGTTCTCCCATGATGAATCCATTCATTAGTGGGAATAGAGCCTTCATGATCCAATCACCTCTTAAAGGCCCCACCTCTCCATGCTGCCACTCTGGGGATTAAGTTTCAACATAAGTTTTGGAGGGAACACCCAAATATGCATGCTCAAGTCCCTTCTCTGTGCTCCAGGCCCACATGTCCAATTCCCTGCTTGCCCTCCCAACTCAGTCCCCTCACAGATACCTCTGACTCACGTGTCCAAAGTGAAATTTGCAGTGCTCCTCCCAGCTCCTCTCTCAGCAGTCCCGTTCTCAGGAAATGGCAGGCCAGAAGTCTTCCACAACATTCCCACATCCAGTCAGTCAAAAGCCTCCGAAAGCTTGTCTCCCGGTTATTTCGTGGCTCTTTTCCTCCACCCTCTCCTTTGACCTGGCCAATACCCTCCTGAAACTCCTTCCTCTTTTACGTCTCTTTTCATGTGTGATTCATTAGATCCACTAAGTTCCACCCCTAGAAGGAGAGGGTGGACTTTCCTGCAACACTGAAGACAAATTTCCCTCTTCCCCTTTTTCATGTTCCCTGTGACTTTTTAAATTAAAAAAAAAAATTCTTTTTTGTTTTGGCCCTGAGTTGCACTGTAAATACAGGACTGAAGATGACGTGACAAACCCAGACATCGCCATGCCTAAGGCGTAGAGCTGAAGACTTTTTATGTGTCATAAGGAATTCTAGCAAAACCCAGAATATTCAGCAGGAACATGGAATGGAGTTGGGGTGGAAGATACAGAAATTTCAGTTCCATTCAATCATGGGGTAACAGTTACCTAAGTCCCCTAAAAAATCACAGCACTTTCTCGCCTCATTTTACAATGAAGGATGTCTGGTCTTGCCTTATTTATTCCTTGTATGGTTATTTTAATTACGTTTATTTTGGAGCCGGGTGCGGTGGCTCATGCCTGTAATCCCAGCACTTTGGGAGGCCGAGGCAGACGGATCACCTGAGGTCAGAAGTTTGAGACCAGCCTGGCCAATATGGTAAAACCCCATCTCTACTAACAATACAAAAATCAGCCGGGCGTGGTGGCGCATACCTGTAATCCCAGCTAGTAGGGAGGCTGAGGCAGGAGAATCGCTTGAACCTGGGAGGCGGAGGTTGCAGTGAGTCGAGTACGTGCCACTGCACTCCAGCCTGGGTGACACAGCAAGACACCATCTCAAAAATAAATAAAAAAAAAATTTTTGAACATTTCTCCACAATTAGATATGAGCTTCTTAAGGACAAACATTCTGTTTACCTTAAAATAATCATATATTTCTATATTAGTGCAATTCAATGAATATTTATGGGTGGGCTCAGATCCTGGCTCCTCTCATTTCCGTGGACTCCAGGGATCCAGTTTCCTCTTCATAAAGCGAGGATAATGAAATCTGTCCTTCACCCCTGGCAAGGCACTCATGAGGATCAGGTGAAACCATGTGTGTGGGAACCCTTTTAAAACCGCAAAGAGCTGCATAAACATCTGAGGGCTTTAGGTTCGCAGATACAATCGGAAGGCGCCTGGCGCTGCTGGGCATTGAGCTTCCAGGGGGCACTTGGTGGAGAGCCCTGCACTCCCCTCCCTGAGGAAGCAGTTCCCATAGTTCCCGTTTCCCACCTGGCCTCTCCTTTTCAGGGCTCCTAAAGAGTGATCTTCACAGAGAAAGCCAGTCTGTTTAAACGATATTGTAAGTTCTGAATATCACCAGGTCTATTTTTTAAGTCTGAATTTACATTTAAATCAGGAGCATTTGTCCAGGCCAGTAATTTTTCAGCCCAGCTCCTCCAGACGGTGTGTGTCCATTACCAGTGAGAATTTGAAACCTTCCTGACGCCAGGAGGCTGAGGTTTTCCTGCACTGGGCCTCCACTTGTGTGTGGAAGGGGAGGGGCGGCAGGGAGGCAGGAAGAGGGGTATGGAGGGAGAAGGGTGGGAGAGGAAGGTCAAGGAAGCACAGTTATAAATAGAAGCGTCTTTTGCCTTCAAGATATTTCAGGTCACATGGAGAAAGGAAATTCACTCTTAAGAAATAACAAAGAAACAAAAGACTGAAGTCAATTCAGAAGTGCTGACACAAAGACCGGTTTGGAGGCAGTAAAATTAATCAGGATTGCCTCCTGGGAGTAGGTGGGTCACCACAAGGTCTTGAAAGCAACCAGGGGAAAAAGGAACTCCTGGTTTGGGGATCATAAATCTCTCTTCAAGAACAACCAAACTCCAGTATGAGTATTTACGCTCCTTATCATCTAAGCTGGGTCTGAGGTCAGGAGCTTGGATTCTGGTCTTCATTCCAGGGTCCAGCTCATCACAGACCCTGAGCAAATTCTTTACTCATCTCCTTGTGCAGGAACAGTTGAAAAGTACTTTGGGGAAAACCAGTTTTAACTATTACTCCCAAACCTTAATTAGAACTGTATAATTCTTTATCTTTTGTGAAATGAGTTTTAAACTAGAACAACCATTGTAATTATTAGAAACATTTTAAATAATTGTCAGTAATAATCTTCATTCGTCATAAAAAGGGAAACACATCTATTAATCTTTCAAAGCACAGTTCTCTGATCTTTTTCCAGGTGTATGATTCACTCTTTTCTACCTTATTTTGTGACAAAATGTGGTCTGTACGAGGCCCCCACTCAGTATCAACACAGGACGCCTTCCAAAACAATGCAAGAATGTAGGTTCAAGACTGTTTCACGCCCCAGCAAGCACTCATTAGGTGGCATTCAAGGCAAGTTTAAAAAAAAGGGGGGGCGGGCACAAACTTCTGGGGGTTAATAATTTAGTACCGTGCCTGCCACTACCCAGTTGTCGCTGGTTTGTGGCAATCACAGCTGCGTTGTGTCACACCACTGATTAATTCCTAGGAACTGCTAAGGGCTGACCTTTTCAGATGACTGACCTGCCTAAATAAATCAAACCCATTTGAGGTCATGTCTGTGGGCACAGCAAGCTGACTTGCCTTCTCGAGTGGGTGAAAAACAATTGGCATTTCAGTGAGGAACTGGATGTAATACATGAAATGGCTCAGATCTACTCAGCTGGAACCCAGGTGAGGAGAATATTCTGAGTAAAAAAATCATGATTTGTTGTTTTCTGGGCTTTGGCACTATACAGAACACCACAGGCAGTTTGTTCCAGGGTAGAGGTCAGGGATGGCTGGCCTGAGGGACACACAGACCCCAGACTCATCTCCCTCTCTCAGCCAGGGCGGTAGCTCTCCCTTCACCTCCTGATGTCCTCGGACTTTATTCCCAGCTCAAATGCCACGCTCCTCGAAAGTGCAGTACGCTGTCAGGATGAGCTTTCGTTGCCCTACGTTGGAATTCACTGTGGCACAGCTGTCCCTGGCTTTCCTCCTTTTCCTATTTCTCAGTCCCACAGCAGTGTCTTGAGAGGACTTGGGTGGATGTGCAGCAGCTGCAGGGATGAAGTAGACAGGAGCAGCCATGGAAGAAACTCAGGTTTCAGTGAAGCACTATGAGGAGGTCCTCCCAGGGAGGCTGTGGAATCAAAATGTTAAAAGGGGTAGAAAAAAAGCGAGCTACAAGATGAAGATTTTGCCTACCACGTTTTGAGAAAATTTAAAAAGATAAGCGATACAGTGAATGAGACAGGACTTTCGGCTAAAATCGGAGTAAAATTTGTAGATTCCAGTAAACCAAATCCCTAGAGAAGAGTCCCAGCCAAGACAATGTTAGAAACTTGGTTGCAAATTGTACAAGTTTGAACTGAGAAGGCCAAGTTTGTGGGTTAATGGAAAAGAGAAAAATAGGCATCCCAAGAAGGATACATTGTTTTCCCATTAAAGAAGCAAGGAAATACACTTTGAAAAGTAAGTATGGGAAAGAATGAGGTTAGGGCTACACAGAGATGCCATGGCACACTGGTTATCTCCCTTGGGTTCAAATGCCAACTGTACCACAATGCTGTGTGCCCACGGGCAAATTCTTAACCTCTCTGTGCCTGTTTCCCCACCTGCCACATGGAAGATTTATAATGGCCACCTCATGGTTTTATGAAAGTTGGAAGAGTTGTCAGCCATGGTGTCTGGCACATAGTACTGTTATATTATTTTATTATATAACAATTTATATTATTATTTTATTATATTATATATTATAAATTATATATTATATTATATATTGTATATAATTATATAATATATAATATAATTATATATTATATATTATATATATTTTATATATTATAATTATATATTATAATTACCTATATTATATAATATATTATATAATTATGTTTTATATTATATTATATAGTATAATACAAATTATATGTTATATATAAAAAATAATAAAATTTGAAATATCTAGTGTCATTTATTTGGAATAAAAGAGGGAACTTTATGGATAACCTGATCAAATCCTCTGTGATTCCACAGATGAGGAAACACAATGTCATTATATGATTTTATTAATCATTCCAGACTCATTTTATTTTCTGGGTCACCGTTAAATGGCTTTCATTTACTTAAATCTTGTCTTCCAATATGATTCTTGAATGCAAGAACTTGTGTCTTAACTGTGTGCTCCTAACAGTGTTAGGCACACATAGCAGAACTTAAATACTGGTTAGATTTTTTTAAATACATAATTTCAAATTTATTCCAGTGGCAACCATTTCCACATTAACAATGATTAGGAGTTTTTTGTTGTTGTTTTTATTTTTTTATTTTATTTATTTTTATTTATTTATTTATTTTGAGATGGAGTGTTGCTCTGTGGCCCAGGCTGGAGTGCAGTGGTGCGATCTCGGCTCACTGCAAGCTCCGCCTCCCGGGTTCACGCCATTCTCCTGCCTCAGCCTCCCGAGTAGCTGGGACTACAGGTGCCCCCCAGCGCGCCCAGCTAATTTTTTGTATTTTTAGTAGAGACGGGGTTTCACCATGTTTGTCAGGATTGTCTCGATCTCCTGACCTCGTCATCTGCCCGCCTCGGCCTCCCAAAGTGCTGGGATTACAGGCGTGAGCCACCGCCTGCAATGTTTTTGTTAAATACCAGTTTGATTTGACTTTTTTTAAACTCTAATGCCAATTTAAAAGACCCAGATGGCCCTGGCAGAAGAGTCTGGATGAGCAAGTGTTAACAAAGGGTGATAAGGCCTCAGAAGGCATTGTGGCCAGGCAGAGAGAGAGAGGAGAGAACCAGTGAAGAAAGACTCGGTTCTTTGGAAGGAGGCCCTGCAAGGCCCTGGAGCCCAGCCCACGGTCCTGGTTGCCAAAGACTTGGAGAAGTCTTGTCCAGGAGGTGACGTTCATCCTTGCCTCTAGCCAAAGGTTAAAGGAACAGCCTGAACAGGAGGAAGGCAGGGAAGAGTGCAGCGCTTCATGATAACATCGGTGTGCGAGCAATTCCACACAATAACTGACCTTCTGTTGAGGGATGGGGTGTAGGGTGGGAAAAAGAAGAATAACAGGAAAAACCAAGCCCAAAGGTCCTGATCCTGAGGGGATGGACAGACCTGGCCTATGTGGGGCAGAGAGTGGGCTTTGATGGAAAGGCAAGAGTCTGGTAGGCGGGTGGGGTAGGGTGGGGATCAGAGTGTATTGCCTGAATTTAGTCTCATAAAACTTGTGTGTGTGTGTACACTGGCTGATGGTCCTCCTGAACTGTAGTCACAGTCCAGAATGCCTGAAGCACCTGATATGATAATGAAACTCCCAGGGTGTTCTTTGTGAAAACGATGTTGGGTCAGCAGCCAGGTGTTAGTTTCACACTCACAGGTGAGGGAAAATCACTCTTCTGGAACCACCCTACCTTGTCACTGAGTCTACAGTCCCAGCATACAGACGGCAATGCTTCCTTTAATTTGGGGTTCCCAGTTTTAGTTGGTTGTAATCACTTTCTAAAAGCATACACTGGACACATTGTTGCCTGGAGTCTTAGGCAGTAAGTGATAATGTTGGGCAAGAGGCACTGTCCAAATGGCCATGTGATTTTTTTGTTTATTTCTTCCTTTAAAGGGAAGACTGAAATCCTTGAAGATTACTTGACGTAAGTCCTCAGAACCACCCCAAATGGTTTTGAAAGATTTATAACTTCTCTCATGTGCTCAGTATATGATGCTCTTACTTAGGAAGAGGAAGAAAAAATGTTTACAGTTTCACTTTGAGCTTTAAAAAATTCCTATAACAATTAGCTCTTGATTCAGAAATTATAAATAAAACTGTTTTATTTTCCAATTTACTGAAACATTGTGTCCTGTAATGTTTTAGTCTTCATTGGTCCAGGGATTTAATTTTAATCTTGCACTTTTTTGTAGAAAACAGCTTATGAATCTTAACTCTAAATATTTATTGTTCTGTACCAATTGTACTGATCTCTTATGTTGGAGATTTGCATTCATGCGTGGATGAAATGGATTTGCCATTCTTTATTAGTGGACAATAATGACTGACCACGGAATTGGGTATAAGTACAGGCTTTAAAGGCAGAGAAACCTACATTTGAAATGAACCCTGTTATACAGGAACACTATGACTCTGAAAGGCATATGAATACTTGGAGCCTCAATGTGCTTAGCTGTAAAATGGGAACAATCAGATTATCTACTTTACAGAGCTGTTGTGAGGCCTATATAAAGCCTTGCGTGGCTGAGATAGTGCTAGTAGTACCCACCAAATCCCCTCTCAGTTTCCTCTTCATGAACATAACACTACATTTGCCACCAGTTTGAGTCCATGTGACGGCTCTAGCCAATAAGCCACCATATAGATACATGTTGTAGGTGATGCAATTACAAGATAGAGGAGGGTTGTCCAATCCACAAAGGACCTTATGTGAGCAAGCGATCGGCCTTTTATTTGTAAAGCCACTGAAATTTGAGGTTTGTTTTTTTTTTTTTTTTGTGCTACGGGAGCATTGTCTAGCTTACCCTAATACATTGGACATATGATAAACAATTGATAAATTTTGGTATTGAAAGCCGGGCGCAGTGGCTCTTACCTGTAATCCCAGCACTTTGGGAGGCCGAGGCGGGCAGATCACCTGAGGTGGGTGTTCAAGACCAGCCTGACCAACATGGTGAAACCCCGTCTCTACTAAAAATACAAAAAATGAGTCGGGCATGGTGGTGGGCACCTGTAATCCCAGCTACTCGGGAAGCTGAGGCAGGAGAATTGCTTGAACCCAGGAGGTGGAGGTTGTAGTGAACCGAGATCGTGCCACTGCACTCCAGCCTGGGCAACACAGCAAGACTCCATCTAAAAAAAAAAAATTGGTATTTAAGGTGTCTGTGAACCAATGTGGAATGATGCCTTGAACATACATTATTAAGAGAGAGAAGCAAGACAGAACAGAGTGTATAGTGCGCCACATTTTGTGTAAGAAAGAAGGATAAATTAAAATGTATATATGTACTTGCTCATGTTTGCAAAAAGAAACACAGGAGAGGAAAAACCAGAAACGAATCAACTTGATGACCTATCCTTGTAGGGAGACTGGGGCAGGGTGGTGGGGATGTGCACAGGCGTGAGACTTCTCTGATCAAATGTTTTTACACAATGTTGATTTTTGAACCATTTATTCTCTATATATTCAGAAATAAAAGTAATTTATAAAGGAAAATGCCTTAAAATTGTACCTTAAGAGAAATAAATGACCAACTCTATATAAAATTGATCCAAACCAACAATAAACAAAAAGGTTAATTTGGGTAACTTGAACATATTACTCTGACTATATCTATATATCAATATTATTAGGAACTAGGAATTTTTCTGTATAAGAGGAAAAAGATAAAATATAAAAAAATAATGTAAACACTTATGTTAAATTTCAATAGCAATACAAACTCATACTATTTCATTATATATATATTTTTATTATATATATATTCATTACATATGTAAATAAAGCATCCTAGTTGTGTTCCTGAAAAAGCGTACGATGACACCCTAGTGGTAACGAACATAACTAACCCTCATATCTTGCATCTCCTGCTGTAATAAATGGTACAGGCAAGAATAATCAATGGATACTGAAACCATTACATAAACGTGGCAGGGCAATAGAATATTCCTACAGGGGCAAAGTACACCCCACAAATCATTCAGTAATTTAAAAGGAAAAAAATGTTGGATCCAATTTATACCCAGCCAGCACATCCATTTGACCCTGCCTGCCCCTGGGGACCCACTACCCTGATCCTAGGTAAAGCAGCTCCAGTGATGGCCGCAAAGTTCCAGCTTCCACCTTGTCACCTTACCTCCTATAATGACAGGCACCGCTGTCTTTGGCAAGGCCATGTCATTCCACCTGCCAGGGCAGGAGCTGCAGCAACTCCTGTGCCCAGGTCCAGCAGGAGCCCCGGGTGAACTGGCTTTCCCAGTGGCTGTGTCGAGGCAGCTAGCAACACAATCCTGAAGTACAAGTGCTTTACCACCACGTGAGCTTTGCCTTGTAGGACTCCTCTGAGGTGCAACGGAGCTACACAGCACCTCCAAAGATGTCTCACATAGCCAAGCGGCCAGCTGTGCTGTTTATCAAGCAGTGGCTAATTCAGCAGCAGACCATCTTGTAGTTTCCCCCTCAATTCATTTTTCCCCTTTCACAGCATTGCACCCCCACCCTGCAAAGCAATAGCATGTAAACTTTGCCTCAGTTGATGTTCCAGGCAAAGGTACCTTCTCATGGACATATAATAATTACTTTCTCAACAGGTCATCCCCCTGAGCATCGCTGCTGGCAAAAACCCAGTGTGAGGACCTCCTCATGGAATACCTGTAAAGTATTCTTTATAGCCAAATAAATAAATAAATAAAAGAAAAAAGTTTATTCAAACCTAAAACCTAACTTCCATTATAAGGGCTTAAAAGTAAAAGTTAAAGGACACCATCAGGAAACAATCGGGCAAGCCAGGGATGTGTGACCTTCTCTAAGACAGCTGGCCCAGATTCCTCAAGTCAATGTCGTAAATCAAAACCAAACAGAAGTTAAGGTGGGGGAGATTTTCCAGATTAGCCTCCAGATGGAATCCATAAGCCTTGATTAGCTCTCGGGGGAAACTGCATACAAACATTTAAGGTACAATTGCAAAAATTTTAAAATGACTTGGATATTAGTTGTGATTGTAGAATCATTGTTAAGTTTCCTAGGTATGATAGTGGTATTGCGGTTATACAGGAGATTTTCTTTATTCTTAGGAGATTCATATTGAAGCACTTACGGATCATGATGCCATACTGACAACTTATTTTCAAAAATGGTGTGTATCATGTGTTTGTGGGGAGACAGAGAGAGGAGAAAAACCAAATATGGTAAAACGTTAACAACCATTGAATCTAGATGAAAAGCATTTGTGGTTTCTTTTGACATTTTTCAGTGTTGAAAATTTTCATAATAGAAGGCAGACAGATAAATATCAGTAAAAAGCAGATAAAATTGAGGATATATTTGTATTTGAAGAGCTTTTTAAAGCCATGTTTTCTTTTCCTCAACCAGTTTCAAATAAGCAGCCAATACTTTATCAGGAACTAATTCATCCACCTCAGAATGGATATTCACACCCAAATTGCTGTGCTTTCAAAAGCTTTTTAACCTCTTGTTTGTTGCTAGCACTTTCCCAGTGGAAAGAATTTGATGCCATTTCCGCACACCCAAATTCCTGTTGGCAGGATAATCAGCAAGTAATACAGAGAGCTGCTTCCTTCAACAGCTGCATTCAGCACAAAACCGAGGGCCGATTATGTGGAGAAATATCCTTCAGAGGTAAGGCATCAGGTAAAGGCATCAGTGATCTTTTCCATGCATTCCAAATACTGTATTGGATCAAACTGGAGCAGCATCATTCTCTACAGCTGTGCTGGCAACAGACAGACACAAATGAACTATTTAATATGGCAAAATGCACAGCTGTTTGAGGCTTCTATTATTAGCACCAGTTCTCGACTCACTGGGAAAACTCTTCTTCAACTTGTTAATGCGACAGTTTTATTTGTTTGGACGCAGCTTTCCATTATCATTCTTCCCACCCCAAACTTCCCTTTATCCCCAAGATGTCTCCAGACAGAGGTGTTTCCAGCTGGCCCCAGTTCAGCTGATCTCCAGTCTGTCTGCCCATGAGAGTCCCAGGAGAGCATGCCGTCTAACTAAGCCGCCTGGGCTTTGCTCTGGACCCCTAAGGAGTCCCTACAGGTCAGGTCTTCCCTGCTCCATCCAGAGAGGGGCCCCTCTCATACTGCAGAATGCTCGAAGTCCACAAATGTTCATTCTCCCCTTCGTTACTAGTAGAACTCACTCAGTTAAGGCTGAGCTCACGGTAGGCAACCTCAAACTCTCAGTGGCTTATCAAAAAAGTCATTTATTTTTCTTGCAGGCTGGTGGAGGCCGCTCTGCTTCAAGCTGTGAGCCGAGTCAGGGCTGCTTCACTTGTCTCTCATCCTCTGGACCAGTGACCACCTGGGGTGGCAACAGGGCCAGAGGACGAGCAGAGACACAAGAGGCCTCCTAAGGCCTCAGCTCAGAACTAACAAACTCGCTTCTGCCCACATTCCATTGGCCAAAGCCCTGCATGAGTTGTGGAAAAGTACTCTCCACTTTGGTGAACATTAGTAAGAGAAAAGAGGGAAGGAAGAATTGCAGGCAAGTAATACCATCTACCTCGGCCTCCTATGCAGCTTGGTGTGTACCTGCACCTAAGTTCTGGCCTGTAGGATATGAGGGGAAGTGAGGTGTGCAACTCCAGGACCTGCCCCTGTAAAGACTGGGCCCTGCCTTTCCCCTGCCCATCTGCTGGGGACATGGTAGGACTGCAGCAGTTGCCTGGCCCAGAGATAGACGGCACAGCTATCCTGCTGGTCCTACCTCTAGACCGCCACATGTACCTCACTTACACTGCTTGGGTTTTGCATCTTAAAACCCCAATTAGCACACCATTCATTCATTCATTCCCCCATCAACAAGTATGTACTGAGTGTCTTTTTGCCAGGCATTGCACTAGGTTTTGGAGAGATGACAGTGAACAAAAACAAACTTGGCTGTTCTGTATCTTGGCTGTGGCAGTGGTTACACAAGCCTACACATGTGATAAAACTGCATAGAACTAAATACACACACACAGAGGAATGCCAGTCAAACTGGGAATTAAAGAATCAAAAAGTCACTGGTGACTCAACATGGCAGCAGTCCAGCTCAACCATACAGATGACAGCAGTGTGCTGAAGTATGACAAAGGAATGATTTAAAAGGAATTGAGGCAGAGCTGCCAGGCAGGCATGCTCACCTTGGACTTTGAAGCAAGAGAGACATAAATAAAGGTCTTTGTTCTGTAAGTAGAGTGTTCATATAATTTATCATCCAAACTGAGACACCTGTGAAAATAATTACACTGGAACAACTTGTGTGACTGATCAGCTGGTCACTCCATCTTTAAGTCATTGTCTTGTTGAGTCTGTTATCAGAGCCCATGGAGTGCCATGCATGGACAGCTTATTTAGGCACAACAGAGAAAAATTAAAGGGAAGGAGGAGCAAGGAAGAGTGGAAAGGATAAAGAAATGGTGAGCATTGGCAGGAAACAATGCAAGGAGAAAAGGGAACAGGAATCGGATTTTCTACTAATTTGCTGTGTGTTCCTGTGTCAGTTTATAAATTAGTGTCTATATTTACAACCGATTGGAAGAACGAACTTTTTAGATCCTCTCATCCAACAAAGCTGCAGATTTCTTTATTGAGATGGAGTTGAGAAAGCTTTAAAACAGGCCAAAGCAACATGAGGACATGTGTCATGAGAAGAGAAATGGTCTTCCATAAATTGAGTGCTGGGGAAGGCTTGGTGTAGGTAATGTAGAGGTTCTCAAACTGTGGAGAAGCTCAAAATGTGTTCCTTTGAGCCTTGGTCTTCTAGTTAGGCCACTGTCTAAGCCACTATACAAAAAGACACCAAACACACTGGCTTCAACAAGACAAGCCTCTGTTTCTCTTTCGGGTGACAGGAGAAGCAGAGGACTAAGCTTTCTTTTCCAAGTCATCACCTGAAAGTTGCCCCTTCACTTCTGCTCACATTGCATTGGCCAGAGACTTGAAAGGAAGCTGGGCACGTGCTGTGGGGAAAAGAAAGAGAGATCAGATTGTTACTGTGTCTGTATAGAAAGAAGTAGACGTAGGAGACTCCATTCTGTTCTGTACTAAGAAAAATTCTGCCTTGAGATTCTGTTAATCTGTGACCTTACCCCCAACCCTGTGCTCCCTGAAACGTGTGCTGTGTCAACTCAGGGTTAAATGGATTAAGGGCTGTGCAGGGTGTGCTTTGTTAAACAGATGCTTGAAGGCAGCATGCTCCTTAAGAGTCATCACCACTCCCTAATCTCAAGTACCCAGGGACACAAACACTGCGGAAGGCCGCAGGGACCTCTGCTGAGGAAAGCCAGGTATTGTCCAAGGTTTCTCCCCATGTGATAGTCTGCAATATGGCCTCATGGGAAGGGAAAGACCTGACCGTCCCCCAGCCCGACACCCGTAAAGGGTCTGTGCTGAGGAGGATTAGTATAAGAGGAAGGCATGCCTCTTGCAGTTGAGACAAGAGGAAGGCATCTGTCTCCTGCCCGTCCCTGGGCAATGGAATGTCTCGGTATAAAACCCAATTTACGTTCCATCTACTGAGATAGGGAAAAACCGCCTTAGGGCTGGAGGTGGGACATGCGGGCAGCAATACTGCTTTGTAAAGCATTGAGATGTTTATGTGTATGCATATCTAAAAGCACAGCACTTGATTCTTTACCTTGTCTATGATGCAAAGACCTTTGTTCACGTGTTTGTCTGCTGACTCTCTCCCCGCTATTGTCTTGTGACCCTGACACATCCCCCTCTCGGAGAAACACCCACAAATGATCAATAAATACTAAGGGAACTCAGAGGCTGGCGGGATCCTCCATATGCTGAACGCTGGTTCCCCGGGCCCCCTTATTTCTTTCTCTATACTTTGTCTCTGTGTCTTTTTCTTTTCCAAGTCTCTCGTTCCACCTAACGAGAAACACCCACAGGTGTGGAGGGGCAACCCACCCCTTCAACGTGCCCTGCCAAACCTCTGGTGGTAAGGCTTCGATTACTAAATGGAAGAAAGGGACACAGGGTGTTTTGGAGTTGACACCTAGCTCTTTGGAGGTGACTCAGATCACTCAGGAGAGTCCGTAAGGCCCGGTGGGCAACACCCCAATCCTCCAGTCTCTACCCAAGAAGCTCCACCTTCATCTATTTGAGGGTTCTATGTTGCGGGAAGTCAGGGACCCCGAATGGAAGGACCAGCTGGAGCTGTGGCAGAAGAACATAAATTGTGAAGATTTTATTTTAATATGGACATTTATCAGTTCCCAAATAATGCTTTTATAATTTCTTATGCCTGTCTTTACTTTAATCTCTTAATCCTGTTATCTTCATAAGCTGAGCATGTATGTCACCTCAGGATCACTATGATAATTGTGTTAACTGTACAAATTGATTATAAAACGTGTGTTTGAACAATATGAAATCAGTGCACCTTGAAAAAGAACAGAATAACAGCAATTTTTAGGGAACAAGGGAAGACAACCATAAGGTCTGACTGCCTGCGGGGTCAGGCAAAAAGAGCCATATTTTTCTTCTTGCAGAGAGCCTATAAATGGACGTGCAAGTAGGGAAGATATTGCTGAATTCTTTTCCTAGCAAGGAATATTAATAATTAAGACCCTGGGAAAGGAATGCATTCCTGGGGGTAGGTCTATAAATGGCTGCTCTGGGAGTGTCTGTCCTATGCGGTAGCGATAAGGACTGAGATACGTCCTGGTCTCCTGCAGTACCCTCAGCCTTATTAGGATTGGGAAACTCCATCCTGGTAAATTTTTGGTCAGACCGGTTCTCTGCTCTTAGACCCTGTTTTCTGTTAAGGTGTTTATCAAGACACTACGTGCACCACTGAACATAGACCCTTATCAGGAGTTCTGCCTTTTGCCCCTTGTCCTGTTTCCTCAGAAGCATGTGATCTTTGTTCTGCCTTTTGCCCTTTGTCCTGTTTCCTCAGAGGCATGTGATCTTTGTTCTGCCTTTTGCCCTTTGTCCTGTTTCCTCAGAGGCATGTGATCTTTGTTCTGCCTTTTGCCCTTTGTCCTGTTTCCTCAGAAGCATGTGATCTTTGTTCTGCCTTTTGCCCTTTGAAGCATATGATCTTTGTTCCTACTCCCTGTTCGTACACTCCCTCCCCTTTTGAAATCCTTAATAAAAACCTGCTGGTTTTACGGCTCAGGTGAGCATCACGGTCCTACCAATATGTGATGTCACCCCCGGTGGCCCAGCTGTAAAATTCCGCTCTTTGTACTCTTTATTTCTCAGCCGGCCAACATTTATGGAAAATAGAAAGAACCTATGTTGAAATATTGGGGGTGGGTTCCCCCGATATCTGGCCCCTATCGGGTTCCCCCGATAGTTCTATCTAAATTTTTATCTGAAAAATAAGTTTCTCTGCTTTAAAAAAGAAACTTTGAAGACCATTTTACAGAAGAATTGGTTTGCCAAGGTGGAAAGAGAAGCTCATCAGTGACGTGACTTAGCCAAAAGCACTGGTTATACCTCTATACCTCGGAGCCGACACTGAAAGCCCCGGCCATAGTCTTTCTGCCCCAAGGAAAGCCTGGGGTGGGGGTGGGTGATATTGTCAAGAGCCAGGCCCCAGCTCCTCATACACACAGCTCATTTGCTCTCCCTCCCAACCCCCACCTTCATACTTCTTCCACACGCATACCAAAGAAAATAAGAATCTCAAGGTTGGAAAATCCCACTTTACTTCAAGTGAAGTCACTGGGTTGTCCCCATGAAATATCTCCACAATGGGTGTGCTAGACCTTTACTCTCTGTGGCACCACCAAGACCCCCTCACCCTGCCAGAGCCCTCTGAAGTGTACTCAGAATGGAGGGGCTGGAAGTGGGGCCAGTGGTCCTGGTAGTCAGCCTCCCCTTCTGACACAAGAATTATCGTGGAACAGCTTGTGTGACCGATCAACTGGTCTCTCCATCTTTAAGCCATTGTCTTGTTGACTCTGTTACTGCAGAGTTTGGGGAGGTCTCATGGCTTCTCGCATCCTATTTCCTGAGCTTCCCTGAAGCCAACTTCTGGCCACTGGTATGTGATGCGAGCACAGTGCCTCCTCCTGCTCCTCCAGGAAGCTTCTGCTGATTGAACGCAGGCCAGATGGCGAGATCCGGAGCAACCTTCTTAGATCAAGGGAAGAAAGGGGCACAAGAGGGGAGTAGGTAACAAGATAAAAGGAGCTCCCTCCCTGATGACTACAGAGCCATCGTGGCAGCCCTGGGCCTCCATTTCAGACGTTCATCTTGCCTAAGCCACCACCATCAGGGTCTCAGTCAGTCATCATTCTCATTTACTCGGGTGGCTGGGTGAGGGCGGAATACTACCTTCCAGCTGTCTGAGATTAAGCCTAAGCCACCACCATCAGGGTCTCAGTCAGTCATCATTCTCATTTACTCGGGTGGCTGGGCGAGGGCGGAATACTACCTTCCAGCTGTCTGAGATTAAGCAGAACAGCAGCTAAAGCAGTAACAGCAGGTCTCCTTCAGCAGCTTGCCACAGGGAAGAGGGTCCCGCGTGAACCGAACTCAACTTCCACCTGCGCAGAGGTAGCTACCATTTGCGTAGAGGTAGCTGGGTCTTTAAGGTTAGAGGGAAGGCGCAGGGAGGGAGAGACGGCGGGTGGGGGTTGAACAAAGTGGAGATTCACAAAAGCAGACTAGGGCGGGCGACGTGATCAGATGACCTGTGCGGGCGGCAGCCTCCTGCCCTCCTCCCCTTCGTGCGCCGGCTGGAGCGAAGAGTTCTTTTGACAGCCGTGAGCTTCCCCGCCAGGAACTTACTGGGGCTGCATCACCCTAGAAACGTGGCTTTGGGCTGTGGAAACGCTGCCTCTGTGGAAGTCTCTCCTCGCGGGGGTGGACGGGTCGCTGCGCGCCCAGCGTTCTTCTGCGGTTCTCACAGCCCGCCGCCGCCGCCGCCTCGGGGACCTTTGCGGGGAGGCCTCAGGTCAGCGCCGCCCTTGCGATGGCGGGAGAGCAGAGCGGCCCCAGGGCCTCTGAGCTCCGGCCCCGGCACGTCCCGCCCTCTCCTCCGCTTGCGGGAGCCGGGGCGCCTCGGAGGGAAACCTTCCGGACACAGGCCGGGAGAAGAGGGGCCGTGGCGCCATCGCGCAGCTTCCTGGTTTCGGCCATGTTTTTTTTTTTTTGAGACGGAGTTTCGCTCTTTTTGCCCAGGCTGGAGGGCAATGGCGCCGTCTCGGCTCCCTGCAGCCGCCGCCTCCCGGGTTGAAGGGACTCTCCGGCCTCAGGCCGCGGTGTTCTTGTAAATTAGAACCGGCCTATGCGCCAAGCGCGGGTCTCGCGGCTGCGGAGAGAGGCCCAGCAGGGGGCGGGGACGCCGGGAGGCGGGGCCTGGCCGAGCTGCGCACACCCGGGTGGTTCTGGCTACGGGTACCCGGACCTGCCCAACGACCGTTCTCCATTCCCGACCTCCGCACCCTACCCGGTCCGCAGGGCACCTTCCTCCTCTCTCTCAGGCACGTCCTCGACCTCAGTTGCCACGTGCACATGCTGGTGCCTTCCAGGTCGGTCTTTCTCCACCAGACTCCACCTGGAACTTTCTTCCTTTTCGTCCTGTGCTGGCCTAACCCCTGCTCGGCCTCGGCCCTCAGCTGCCGGCTCTAACAAAGCCTCTGTCTTTCCCAGACCCCTGTGACCAGGTCAGGCTCTGCTCCCTGCGTTCCTCTCTCCTTGCTTCCCTCCTCCTCCCCTCCCCAGAATCGCTTGAACCTGGGAGGCAGACGTTGCAGTGAGCTGAGATCGCACCATTGCACTCCAGCCTGGGTGACAAGAGCGAGACTCCATCTCAAAACAAAAAACAAAAAACACAACTCTTGCTGGCTCCTTGATTTTAGCCCAGTGAGATTCACTTCTAATTTCTTTTTTTCTTTGAGACAGTCTGTTCTGTCACCCAGGCTGGAGTGCAGTGGCGTAATCATGGCTCACTGCAGCCTCAACCTTCCTGGACTCAAGTGAACCTTCCACCTCAGCCTCCCAGGTAGCCGGGACTACAGGGGTGCACCAGCATGCCTGGCTAATTTTTGCATTTTTTGTAGAGATGGGGTTTCACTATGTTGCCCAGGCTGGTCTGAAACTCCTGTGCCCCAGCAGTCCTCCTGCCTTGGTCTCCCAAAGTTCTGAGATTACAGGCATGAGCCACTGCGCCTGGGCTTCCATTTCTGATTTCCAAAACTCTAGGATAATAAATTTACATTGTTTTAAGCCACCAAATTGTAGTAATCTGTTACAGCAGCAATAAGAAATGAATACAGCCATGCTTGATAATTCCTTTATCAAAAGCTACCTATTGGTGTTAGGAAGTATTGTTTTAAATTCTAAGACAGTGTTTTCACTTTCTATCTTGTGCACTGACTACCTCATGACCCCTTAGGTACCAGTCAGGACTGGTAGACTTTAATGTGGAGAACTTCTGAAACAGCAGTTCTCAAAATGTTACCTCCAGACACACAGAATCTGCATCACCCAGGAACTTGTAACCATGCAAATTCTCAGCCACCCAGACTTCCTGCATCAGAAACTCTGGGGCCCAGCAGCCTGTGTTTTAACAAAGCCCTTCAGGTGATTCTGACACTTGCTCAAGTTTGAGAACCGCTGTTCTAGGAGCTGGTCCTGCAGGGAAAGGGTGGCCTCTCAGTTCAGGTTCCAGTGTGGCTGGGGGTGGGGGTCAAGGTGAGGGTTTGGTTGTTGTGTCTGACAGTCAGCCAGGCTTGAGCACACGGACTGTTTACAAGGCTGCACTTTCCATGTTCTGGTCAGCAGTCTCCTGGTTCATTCCGTTACGAATGGACTGTCACCCCAAAATTAATGTTGAAATCTATTTCTCTATTTGGAGGTGGGGCCTTTGGGAGGTAATTAGGTCATGAGAGTGGAGCCCTCATGAATGGAATGACTGCCTAAGAGAACAGAGATGGCTCACACCTGTAATCCCAGCACTTTGGGAGGCTGAGGTGGGCGGATCACGAGGTCAAGAGATCGAGACCATCCTGGCTAACACGGTGAAACCCCATCTCCACTAAAATACAAAAAATTAACCAGGTGTGGCAGCGGGTGCCTGTAGTCCCAGCTACTCAGGAGGCTGAGGCAGGAGAATGGTGTAAACCTGGGAGGCAGAGCTTTCAGTGAGCTGAGACTGCGCCACTGCACTCCAGCCTGGGCGATACGGTGAAACTCTGTCTCAAAAAAAAAAAAAAAAAAAGAGAACAGAGAGCTAGCTTGCTGATTTTCTGCCATATGAGGATACAGTAAGAGGGCAGCCATCTGCAACTTGTAAGATGACCCTCACCATAACGTGACCATGCTGGCACCACGATCTCAGACTTCTAACCCCCAGAACTGAGAAATAAATTTCTCCACCACTCTATGACACGGTATTTTTTTTTTTTTTTTGAGATGGAGTCTCGCTCTATTGCCCAGGCTGGAGCGCAGTGGCACGATCTCGGCTCACTGCAACCTCTGCCTCCCGGGTTCAAGCGATTCTCCTGCCTCAGCCTCCTGAGTAGCTGGGATTACAGGTATGCGCCACCACACCTGGCTAAGTTTTGTATTTTTAATAGAGATGGGGTTTCACCGTGTTAGCCAGGATGGTCTCGATCTCCTGACCTCATGATCCGCCCGCCTCGGCCTCCCAAAGTGCTGGGATTACAGGCGTGAGCCACTGCGCCCAGCTGGCATGGTATTTGTTATAGCAACCCAAGCTAAGACACTCCATGTTATGGACTGAATGCTCGTCTGCCCCCAAAGTTTCTATGCTGAGATCCTAACCCCTTTGTGATGGTAACAGGAAGTGGGAACTTTGGGAAGTAACTAATTAGGCCATGATGGTAGGGCCCTCATGAGTGGGATTAGTGGCTGTCTTAGTCCATTTTGTGCTGCTATAATAGAATACCCGAGACTGGGTAATTTATATAGAACAGATGTTTGTTCTCTCACAGCTGTTGCATTAGGGATAGATGGAAAGACTTATTTATGTATTGACTGACTGATTGATGGGGCCTTGTTCTGTTGCCTAGGCTGGAGTATAGTGGCATGATCATAGATCACTGCAGCCTCAAACTCCTGGGCTCAAGCGATCCTCCCACCTCAGCCTCCATATAGCTGGTGGGGACCAAGTTTCTAACACATGAATGTTGGGAGACACATTCAGACCATCGCAGTGGCCTTATAAAAAGAGACACAAGAGCTTGCTCTCTGCCATGTGAGAATACCACAAGAAGACTGTCCTCAGCAAATCAGAAAGCGGGTGGACCCTCATCAGACACCAGATGTGCCTGCACCTTGATCTTGGACTTGCCAGCCTTCAGAACAGTAAGAAAGAAATGTGTGTTGTTTAAGCCACCCAGTCTATGGTAACTTGCTATAGCAGCCCACTAGGAGACCCCAAGATATTTAAAAACTCATCAGCACCTGCTTTCTGCATCTGGACCCTGATCTTCTGGTGGGTTTACCAGTTACTTGTAGAGTGTCCCTGTGATAGTTTTAGGTGTCAACTTGACAGGATTGAGGGATGCCTAGATGGCTGGGGAAGCACTGTTTCTGAGAAGGACCATGTTTTTGGAGGAGACTGTTTTATGAGTGAATTTCAGGGGACACATTCAGATCATGGCAGTGGCATTATAAAGAGAGACACAAAAGCTTGCTCTCTCTCTCTGCCATGTAAGACTACCACACAAAGACTGCCATCTGCAAACCAGAAGCAGGTGGGCTTTCCTCAGACACCAGATCTGCCTGCACCTTGATCTTGGACTTGCCAGCCTTCAGAACTCTAAGAAAGAAATGGTAGCATGGCTTGGTCTAAGTTGGAAGGCCTGAGAAACAAGCACATGGTGGAACTGAGTTCAAGGATAAAGACTTGAGAATACCTGCTCAGTGGACTGAGTAGGGAAGATCAACCCTCAATGTAGGCAGGCACTATCCAATCACCTGAGGGCCCAGATGGAACAAAAAGGTGGAAGAAGGGTGAATTCTCTCTTCCAGAGCTGTGACACCCTTCTCATGCCCTTGTACCACACAACTCTAGGTCCTTTGGCCTTTGGACTCTGACACTTGCACCAGTGGCCCTCTGGGGCTCTCAAGCCTTTAGCCTTGAACTTAGTTACACCATGTGCCTCCTTGTTTCTCAGGCCTTCCAACTTGGATCAGGCCATGCCACCGGCTTCTCTGATTCTCCAGCTTGCAGATGGTATATTGTGACCCTGGCATTTAATAACTATGACTTTGGTCTTAAGCAATTTTCTTCCTCTGTGGATTGATATTTACATATCAATGTGGATAATAATTTCTTACCACGGTAACTGTTGTGAGGTAAAAATGAGTTAACATAAGTAAAACCGAGCACATGCAAACCATCCGAAATGGTTAATACTTACTATTTGTACTTGAAGAAATAAATGTTTTTGACAATAAACTTCTTGTGCAGTTTTCCTCAGCCAGTGTCAACTGAGCCGATCATTTATGTGACAGTTTCATTACCAAATGGATGTTCTCACCACTATTTCAAGTGCAGTATGAAACTTTATTTGAAATTCTAAAAAACTAATTAATTAATTAAGGTTGTTTGGCTCTTGCAGCCTGTATTAATTTCCTAGGGCAGCCGTAACAAAGGAGTCACATACCACATGACATTTTGGTCAGCAGCAGGCTGCGTTTCTGACAGTACTCCATACAATTATAACACCATTATTTTTACGGTACCTTTTCTATGGTTAGATACACAAATACTTACCGTGTTACAGTTGCCTACAGTATTCAGAGTACAGTCACATGCTGTACTGGTTTGCAGCCCCGGCGCATTAGGCCATGCCGTGCAGCCTAGCTGTGTAGTAGGCTCTCCTGGCTAGGTTTGTGAGTGTGCCCTCTATGATGTTCACACAACGGCCTAACGATGCATTTCTCACAACGTATCCACGTTAAGTGACCCATGACTATTCATTCTACAAACTGAGAAGCTTAAGTAACAGAAATTTATTTTCTCACAGACTTGGAAGACAGAAGCCTGAAATCAAGTTGTTAGTAGGGCCATTGCCCTCTGAAGGCTCTAGAGGCAAATCTTTTCTTGCCTCTTTCAGCTTCCGGTGGCTCCCAGCAATCCCTGACATTCTTTTCCTTGTAGTAACACAACTCTAATCCCTACCTCAGTCTTCACACAGTGTTCTCCCCTGTGGGTCTCTCAATCTCTCACTCCTCATAAGGACAAGTCTTTGCATTCAGGGCCCCTCAAATCCAGTGTGACCTCATCTTAATTTGATTACCTTTGTAAAGATGCAATTTCCAAATAAGGTCACATTTGTATGTACTGCGGGTTAGGACTTGAACATATATTTTTAGGGGGCACAAGTGAACCCACATCAGAGGTCAAGCCACAAAGCAGCCTACATGGCGAAACCAGTCTTGTCGTGAAAATGTAAACTGAGGTAAGGGCCATGCTGCCTTGGAAAGCGTTCTGTGTTGTCATTCCAGAGCCACGGGGGCTGGATAGTGACAACAGAGGTGGGTTGCAGATCTATGGGCTACTCTTTGCAGAGGCAGTAAGTAGGGACTGCCACAGCATTCAATTAATTTCCTGTAAGAATACATTTTATTCAAGTTGATAAAAAAGCTATACTTATTAATATTGCATAACATTCCTGTGCTATCAAATGAGAATCTCCAGAAATGAATTTGAATAGCTATAAAACCCACATTTTTCTGCAGATACATGTGTAGCCACCTGAGAGCCAGGTCCCTCAGTGTCCACAGACATAGCCCTGCCACCTACCGCCTGCTTCCCAGAGCAATGAAGCTTCTGCTAACTCAGGCTTATCCCAGTCTCTATTTCAGGCCATCAGCTGGATGAAGAATTAATTTAGTAAGCATGAAACAGCTTGCAAAGCATTGGTGAGTGGCTGAGGGCCATGAAACGAGACCACCGTGTGGCCCATCTCTGAAGATGAATCCAACAGCAGTGACTCTACCTGCGTCCTCCCCATCTTTTCTGCTTTTTCATACAATGGCTTATTCACTGCGTGTGACATCATCACTAGCACTGTGTTTATCTATCACATTTCTTCTGTTTTGTGGGTTTGTTTTGCATTAAAGGTCTACTTCTCTGAGCTTTGAGCTGTAAGGCTTGACTGTGAGCAGCAACTGAAGAGTGTGGCACCTCACACTCGGTAGGAAGAAGCTGAATGACAGATGTCGGCAGTGAGGGTGGGGAAAGCAGCCAGGTACCAAGCAGCTGTTTTTTAGGCTAACCATTGAAGGGAAGCTCCTAATCCCTGAGTTAACTTTTAGCAGAGATTAACTCAGTCTATCTATTGGGATGTAAAGGATTTGGGCATAAAGGTATGTTAATTCGGAGGCTCTGGAATGTATAACAATTTCTCCCATTGAAATTTATGATAATTAAGTGTTCAACTTACTGGAATTTTCCCCACAAGACTCTTCTGGGATGAATTTGCCTTGGGGAGAAGACTACGTAACTGAAAACCAGCATCCAGGCCCTCAAGAAGAAATATAATCTCCAACAGTCTCCTTTTCAATTTCTGTCAAATGTCTGGCTTCTCTTGAAGGGATGTTCACGAGAAGGGACAGCCGCCCTCCTCCGAGCCTCCTGTTTCAGCTGATGCACCTTCAAGTACAAGGTCCTGTTCTTGGGCTCTGTTAAAGTTTCCCTCAAGAAAAAAACCTTACATTTGCCAATGCACTTGATGTAAAGTTGTTGAGGATGTTGACTCTCCTTTAAACATTTATTGAAGCTAGGAATAAACTTAACTGGACCTGTGTATAGGAAATCTTAAATTTCTACTAAGAGATGAAAAAAAGAATTCCCTTCCCTTCCTTAACAATTCAGCTCCCGTTACACAAAACCAAACAAGATGGGATTCTGTTGTGGGGGGACAGAACTTCATTGTCCTGAAGCTAGGTGTTGGAGCCCAAGCAGGGTGAGGAGGGAGTCAAGGAGGCCCATGTGGTGGTGGAGCATGGCCTGGCATGGGTCTCAGTGCCCAAGCAAGGTGAAGAGGGGACCATGCAGGGAGTGAGGGTGTCACTGCCCAAGTGAGGTGAGTAGGGCAATTTTGAAAAGTCATGAAAGTTGAGGAAGGGCTGAGGCACCATTCTAGATTGAAGGAGACTAAAAAGATGCAACACTCACAATGCACAATTCTAAACTGAAATCTTTGCTCTAAAGGACATTAGGACAATGAAAGAAACTTGCACGGGGTCTGAGCATTAGGTAGTAGTAATGAATTGATGTTGAGTCCCTAATTTTCATGGTTGTATGCTGATGATGTAGGAGGTTCTTGTAGGAAATACACACTCAAAAGTATTCTGAGGTGATGGGGCATCATATCAGAAGCTTATTCTCAAATGGTTCAGGAAGGAAAAAGTTTTATACTATACTTCTTTGGCAAGTTTAGATTGTTTCAAAATAAAATTTTTTTAAAAAGAGCATTTGTTAACCATCAGTTTGGTAAAAGGTGAAAAATGTTGATAATACCTAGTGTTTGTGAAGGTGTGGAGAAACAAAGTTTCATACACTATTGTCAAAAGTATAAATTGTTACAATATTTTTGGAGAGCAATTTTCCAGTATGTAGCAAAAATTTAAAAGCAAATCTTAACTCAGCAATTCTGCCTTTAGAAATGTATTTGTAGGATAACATACAGGAGAGAAAAATGTATTTTACTGCAACACTGTTGATACTAACAAAAACTGGAAACCACCAAAACATTTATCATGAGGGGGTTAAGTAAAGTATGGTATAACTATACAATGAGTGTACTAGGAAACCCTTAGAAAGAATGCAGAAAGATGTATGTGGACTTTTACAGAAAGGTGAGCTACTGTCTAAATGCAAATGTGCCAATATCATGTATATACAGTCAGGTTCCTTTTGTTAAAAACCAAAAGCGTATGTTTAGAAGCAAAAGCACTCATATAAAGGCCTGGTATAGAGCAGTGGCTAAAAACAGTGCCAAGATACTGCCTCAACTTCCTCTCACATGCTGCCCTGGTGATACTGAGGCTGGTTCAGGAACCATGACAGCCTGTTTGTATGAATTCCTTAAAGCACAAATTACTTAGTTTCTTTCATAACAGTCACCTAATCCCTTAGTTTAAAATGGTTGTGTTCATGGAATACTATGCAGCCATAAAAAAGGAGATCACATCCTTTGCAGCAACATGAGTGGAGCTGGAGGCCATTATCCTAAGAGAACTAATGCTGCAACGGAAAAACCAAATACCGCATGTTTTCACTTACAAGTGGGAGCTAAACAATGAGAACACATGGATACAAAGAGGGGAAAAACAGACACTGAGGCCTACTTGAGGGTGAAGGGCAGGAGGAGGAAGAGTATCAGAAAAAATTCCTATTGGGTACTATGCTTATTACCTGGGTGATGAAACAATTTGAACACCAAATCCCTGTGACACAGTTTACCTACATAACAAACCTGCACATGTACTCCTGAACCTAAAAGTTACAATAAATAAAAAATAAAATGGTTGTGTCCTGACAGGAAATAAGTGTTCCAGATCTGCTTGCCTCCTACCCCCTTAAGAACTCCCAGCGCCAAGGACAGCTTCACAGTGATGTGCTGAATTTGTTTTTTCTCTGCCCCACCCACCATTTTGCTTCTGGTAAGATTTTGAATCCCTGGTTAATTAATGAAGAACTAACCTTACAATGGGTATATGCTTGTGGTCCCTTTCCACCAGCCCCCAGCCCACCTAACATACTAGTTGTGGGACTGCCTAAAGAAAGAATGTCAGGAAGGCCAGAGAGGCGAGCTGAGGATCCCCAGGTGGAGGCCTCCACAGTAAGTGCCACAAGGCCATTGCATCATGAGGGCGTGTTCCATGAAGATGTTCTAGCCATGGTGTTTGTCCACTGTCCCATGTGCCTGACTGCTTGGGCACAGTGGACAGTGGTCTTAGCCAAGGCCTAGTTATGTTCAGGGGCAGATCCCTGGCTTCTCCTAAATGCACTGGCCGTGAAAAGGGGCAGTCAGCTTCAGAGGGAGTTGAGGAGCTGGGGATGGGGAAGGCTTTGAAGATGCCCCTCAAAGCCCCACTGGATGTCAATCAGCCAGTTTCCAGACAAGATAAACTAGATAACTTGCAGGATTCTAGGTGTGGGTAGAGATGAGAATCAAACTGGGAAACGTAACTCTTCCCATAGAAGCAGCTAAAATGGCTGGGCATGGTGGCTCAGGCCTGTAATCCCAGCACTTTGGGAGGCTGAGGCAGGTGGATCATAAGGTCAGGAGTTCGAGACAAGCCTGGCCAACACAGTGAAACCCCATCTCTACTAAAAATACAAAAATGAGCCGGGCATGTGGTGGGCGCCTGTAATCCCAGCTACTCAGGAGGCTAAGGCAGGAGAATCGCTTGAACCCTGGAGGTGGAGGTTGCAGTGAGCCAAGATCCCGCCACTGCACTCTATCTAGCCTGGGCGACAGAGCGAGAATCTGCCTCAAAAAAAAAATAGAAGTAGCTAAAACAATTTGTGTGTGTGTGTGTGTGTGTGTGTGTGTGTGTTGGGGTTGGGGAGGAAGGTGTTAAGATCACAGGAATAAATAAAAATGTTAGCATAGTATTGCTATCACAGTATTTCTGTTGTTACATGCTTGAGTCAATCTTTGTTTTTAGAGGAAAAAAGCGTCCAGAAAAAGAAGGACGCTGGAACCTAGGAACTCCATGATTTGTGCTGAGGTTTTTTTGTTTTTTGTTGCAATGGTGTATTCTGAGGACAGGGTCTAAGAAATAACTTCTTAGTTATTCAAATGACTTCTGAATGAAACATTAAAAATACTGAATTGAAATGACCCCAAAACGTCTTAACTATTAGCAAATAGCTAACCTCTTGTATCCCAGATATTGTTTTGTGGAAAGAAAATGAACTTGCTGGATAAGAGACCAACTGAAACAAAATGGAAAGCATGGCAGTGTGCTATATCCATATATATATACACACACACACACACATATATATATACATACATATATATACATACACATATATATATACATACACACATATATATATATATATATACTTTTTACTAAGGCTAGGAACTTGAGGCGAGGATTTTTTCTTTCCCAGTTTGGATTCCCTTTAGAATTTTGGGTTCAGACAACAACTTTTACAGTTCTTGAACCAAGTTCCCTTTTACTGAAAGTTAACAAAATACAAAGAGGGGCTGTGGGCTGTGGGCTGTGAAAGGATTCTGTAGAAAATTGTAAGGCCCAGATTAAGAGCATGCAGACAGCAGTCTATCAGTCAGATTCTAACCTGAAAATCAGAAACCACTCAAGTGTTCAGATGGAAGAAATCTAATGCAGAGAATAGGTGACACACTCAGAGTCAACATCAGAGAAAGCACTGCCACAGATGCTATCAGACACAGCTTTTAAACTAAAAATGCTACTATGTTCAAGGAAAATAAAGCTACATTTGAGAATCTGGCATACTATGAAAAAGGAAGAAGGTCCAGTGCTGTGGCTCATGCCTGTAATCCTAGAGCTTTGGGAAGCTGGGGTGGGCAGATCACTTGAGGTCAGGAGTTTGAGACCAGCCTGGCAACACAGCACAACCCCTCTCTACTAAAAATACAAAAATTAGCCAGGCATGGTGGTGCACACCTGTAATCCCAGTTACATGGGAGGCGTAAGAATTGCTTGAACCTGGAAGGCAGAGGTTGCTGTGAGCCCAGATTTTGCCACTGTACTCCAACCTTGGGCGACAGAGTGATACTCCGTCTCCAGAAAAAAGGAAGCAAATGAAAAGTCTATTACTGAGAAACAGAAAAACTTAAATTGAGCACTCAATGGGTATATTTAAGCCAGATTACATAGCTAAAGAGAAACTTAGTGAACTGGAAGGTAAATTAGATCCAGAATGAAGCCTGGGTAAGGAGTAGGGGACAAAAGGATGGAAACGAGCACTTAAGAGGCACAGGAGATACAGTGAGAAGGCTTTATTTGGAGTCCTAGAAGGAAATGAAAAAAGAATGGTATAGAGCTAATATCTGAGCACACAATGGCTGAGAATTTACCAAAACTCATGAAAGATAAATACACAAATTTAAAAGCCCAGAGTATACAAAAAAGGATCACTTATAAAAAATCCACACCAAAATAAAACACAGTGAAACTGGAATAAACCGAAGATTAAAAAAATCTTAAAAGAAGCTATTTTAAAAAGAATACATTAAACTGGCAGATGAACAGCCAGAGTGGAAATCACACTTCAGTGGCTTAATGCATCCAATGTGACAAAAGAACATGAGGTCTAACCTAGAATTCTATTCCCACAAAAAACCATTTTTAAGAATGAAGTTATTTTTAGGCAAATAAAAATTGTGAAGTTTTACCTCTAACAGGACAGAGTATTCTAAAGAAAGTTTTCTAGAGAGAAGGAAAATGTCCCCAAATAAAAAATTGCAGAGGTGGAGAAGAATGAAAGGAAATGAAAAGGTTGGGCATGGTGGCTCATGCCTGTAATCCTAGCAATTTGGGAGGCCAAGGCAGGTGGATCACCTGAGGTCAGGAGTTCAAGACCAGCCTGGCCAACACAGTGAAACCCCCGTCTCTACTAAAAATACAACAATTAGCCGGGCATGGTGGTGTGTGCCTATAGTCCCAGCTACTGGGGAGGCTGAGGTAGGAGAATTGCTTGAATCTGGGAGGTAGCCATTGCAGTGAGCCGAGATTTTGCCACTGCACTCCAGCCTGGGTGACAAAGCAAGACTGTCTCCAAAAAAAAAAAATAAATAAATAAATTTAAAAAAAAAGAAAAGTAATTAAACGTTTGGTATAGAAAATAATAACATATTTTAATATATATGTACATTTATATGTATATATAATTAAAATTAACCAAAACAACAGCATATAGGATGGAAGGTAAGAAGTATTCTAGGAACTTTGCATTGTCTAGGACGAAGATAAAAGTATCAATTAACATTAGGCTTTGGTAAGTCAAGAATCCACCTTTTAATTCCTAGGCCACTAAAAGAAGAGAAAAAGTATATAACTTCCAAACCAAAAGATGGAAAAATAGAGTATGAATAGAATCATTCATAACTATAAATTAAAGGGCTAAATGATCCTGTTAAAGTAAGTTATCAGACTGGATTAAAACAAACTATATGCTATTTCCAAGAGGTACATCTAAAACATAAAAATACAGAAAGCGTGAAAGTAAAGAAAGAGAAATGCCATATAACGGTAACCAAAAAAGAAGCTGATGTTATTAATACCAGAAAAAAAGAGACTTTTAGTAAAAGGCATTACTAGGGATAAAAGGTTTACTTCATAAAATTTCAATTCATATAACAATTTTATATTTGTGTGGCCTCAAATATATAAAGCAAAGTTCACAGAACTATATCTAAGTAGAGATAACTCAACAATTGTCTCATTAATAGAAGCAAATAAAACTTCATTAAGAGCAGAGAAGATATGAACAACGTATTACAATCTAATGGCTTTATGTAGATGACTGCATGCGGCATCTGCAGAACATGCATTCTTTTCAAGTGCCCACAAATCTTCACTAAGGTTAAACACATGCTGGGCCATAAAGCAAATCTCAACACAATTCAAAGGACAGCAGTCACATGGACCATGTTTTGTAACAACAATAACAAAAATATAACTAGGAAATTCCCATGTTTGGAAGTTAAAAAATATACTTCTAAATAAGCCATGGAATCTGTTGTGATTTCCCAATTTTCATTCCTGACTTTGATTATTTGTGCTTTTCTTTCTCAATCACATCAGAGGTTTACCAATTTTGTCTTTTCAAAGCAGCAACCTTGACTTTGTTGTTCTTTGTTGTGTTTGCTGTTTCATCAACTTTTGCTCTCATTCTTATCTCCTTCAACTTTTAAAAAGATAGTCAATTTAACAACGTTTGTACAAAATTTTTATAAAGTACAGAGCATTTTTATTAAGCCTTAAAATAATCTTGTAAACAGGTCTTTTCCCTCATTTTACAGATGGGAAAATGACAGAACAGGAAATAAATCCATATTATTGCACTGAATGGAATATGGCCCCATGGTTTGCACCCAAGACCAGAGGAACTTCACCTGCTCCTCTCTGGGGCTTTGCCCTGCCCACCCCAGGACCACTACTTATCCTCTGAGATCTTAAGGGACACTCACCAGAAATAGCCATGGTTAAGATGGTAAAAGTCTGGCTCTCACCAACCCTTCCTACAGTAATCTCCAGCACATCTGAATATTGCTGGGAAAACACAGGGGAAACAAGATGTGTACCATGTGAGTGAGCAGGCTGCCCAGGCCAGAAAGGCAAGCGTGAGGCAGCCCTCAACCCCCAACGTGTGGTTACTGGCCTCAGCTGGAGGCTCCTCCTGCTGAGCCCTTTTGCAGCCCGACAAAGACAAAACATGTTTGTTTAGAGACAATGGATTGCTTACTTAGAAGCAAGATACCACTCAGGAACATCCAAAAAATAACTTTTCTCATGTTTCTTCTCAAGTTTTGTCTGAGTAGGGGGTGGTCCTTGAGGGATTTCCTTGACTTCCAGGTAAGAGTTGTCCTCCACTGCCCAAGCATCTAGATGCTGAGTCTTTGGACAGGGCCACCACACTTCAGACTTATTCCATACATTCTTATGCAAATACTTCTCATTCTAGGCAGCCTTCTAAGGACCTTAACACTATTAATGTTTCCAACCCTCATTACAACCTGAGGTTGCTACTATTATCTTTACAAAAGACAGGTGAGGGCCCAGTATGGTAGCCTGTGGTGGTTCAGGCCTGTAATCTCAGCACCTTGGGAGTCTGAGGCTGGGCAGATTACTTGAGGTCAGGAGTTCAAGACCAGCCCAGCCAACAATGATGAAACCCTTTCTCTACCAAAAATACCAAAGTTAGCCTGGCATGGTGGCGCATGCCTGTAATCCCAGCTACTCTGGAGGCTGAGGCATGAGAATTGCTTGAGCTCAGGAGGTGGAGACTGCAGTGAGCTAATGCCCCTGCACTCCAGCCTGGGCGACAGAACGAGACCGTCTTAAAAAAAAAAAAAAAAAAAAAAAAAAAAAAAAAAAAGACACGTGAGGACACACAAGTTTAGTTACTTGCCTAAAGTCATCTGGAAATAAGTGAAAGTCCTTATTTGAACTCAGGCTTCCTTGTGGAGACCATGTCCTCGGCCACTATACTTCACTGACTCTACACAGGTTTCATGCAAACGGCTTCCTTCGCACAATGACACTATCCAGACCTGAGAACCGCCAGGTCTAAATGAGAATGGCTCCTCAGTAGGAAGACAATTGAAGTACTGTATTCTGCTTCCTTCTCCATGTCTCTAGGCCTTTAGCTGAAGCTGGAGAAGAGAAATGAAGGGTCTCCCCAGCCCAGGAACTCCTTGGGTACAGCTGTGGCCAATTACTCAAGGTCTTGATGCAGACAGACTTCAGGTCCCCAATGTCTGCCTTCAGCTAACACCATCTTCAGGTGTTGTCCTGGTGGTGATCCTCTCATTTCTGAATCCCACGGAGGAAAATTCCCCTGCATTGCAGGATTGGTGTTCAGTACCGTTTCACGCCCAGTGTCTTCATACACAAAACATGAAATTATTTTCCAGGCTTTCACCTTCAGACAAATTTGCTAATAGAGACATGCACTCCTATGGAAGGCTATTCCATACTCACTGTTTTTTCAGGCTTTTCTTTTCTCTTTCTCCTCCCCGCTTTTCCCTCCCCCTTTATTTTTCCCACTTGCATATCGTTCTCTGGAAGGAACCGGGGGTGGTGCCTAAACCATGTTCCATCCCTGGTCTGAGCAGGCTCAGCCGCACCAGTTCATTGGGTCTGTGCTACAAGGGAGACCCCACCATGTCTGGGATCAGCCTGAATGGCTTGTATCTGGCTGTAGGTACACTTGAGGACCTGGGCCCATTTCTGGAGCATGCGAGTAGATGGGGGCCGCAGTAGGAGCTTGTCTGGTGCTTAGTGGGGCTGAGGCACTCAGAATCCCCACCTGAGCTGTGGCCATCCTCTCCTTTGTTATTTAGCCTGCATCTCCCCAAAAGTAGACAGTGCATTAGGTTCAGCTGGAGCTCAAGTACGGGAGCTCTCCTGTGTGAGGAGCACATGGAAACCTCAGGTTAAAAACAACCAAAGCTGGTCTCATCTTCAGCAAAAAGAAGCCCAATCCATGTCCCCACGACTACGGGGAACGAGTACTCCATGGCACCCTCCTTCCTGCCCACACATCAGCCCTGCCAGAGACCAGCCTTGCTGGAGGATGCCTGGGCACTTCCGTAGCTGCCTTTACTCAGGTCATCCTAGTTCCTACTCCTCTCAGAAAACCCAATTCAACGTCCTGCCCAGATGTCACCAATTCCTCCCTCTTGGTTGGTCCTAGTCGCTGTCCTCTGAGCACCTGCAGTCTTAATTCATCCATTAGGGTGGTTGTGCTCACAGCCTTTCTCCCTTTATTCATCCTCATCTACCAGAATCTACTCCTGCTGCCATCCTCTCCCACCCAGTACCTGGGACAGGGACAGTGCCTAGTAGATCCTCAAGTATTTGCTGAATAAATCAGTCCAAGTCTGTGTATAGGGTCAGGCTTGCCAGTGTCATGTGCAAAGGAGGATAGAGAGCAAGTATGATCAGAACAGTCCAAGTGGAGCAGTGGTAGAAATGCTCCATCTCCCTTTCCTCCCTCAACTCCACCCTTCCCCACCGCAGCCATCAAAACTTACTGGTAGGGGTTTGGATACAAAGTGAAACAAATATACTCCTAGAAAGAGCATGGAAACTATCTGGCTACAGAGATAGGAGTCCCAGAAGGAGATGGGAAACTACATGGCTGAGATTGTTCTCTTGTAAAGACAATGGGTTTTGAAACCAGATACCAGACTTCAAATTCAGCCTTTGCTGATTGGCCCACTCACAGTATTCTCAGACAGGTTACTCAATTCTCAGAAGAGTCTATTTTTACCCTTTGAGTTACCTAGTTAACAGCTTCATACACAGCAGTAGTTTATGTTCAATTCTACATGTTCCTGACAGAGCTGTGTGTGGTGACTGATCACTCACACAACCTACCTGCTCCCGAGTTAGGATCTGGCCCAGTAACGACGATCACATGGCTCCACTGTGGTCCCCTCAAAATCTATCCTGTGCTCCTCCTAGGGAGGCACCTTCTAACTTCTGGTGAAACCAGCTGAGCTGCTAGCCCTGTGGGATGAGTCTACTACCCTCTCTGGTTTGGATCTGGTATAACTTACCCAACAAAGATCTGGCACACAAATGGCTCTTGGGTATCCTCCATCTAAACTCACAGCCCGTTTTGATTTAAGGAATTTCTTTATTGGAATTCCACTTTACCTCGCCACAAGGAGCTGGCTTTCATGACAAAGAGAGAGTGAGCCCTGAACAAAGTATTCGTTAACATTTTACAACAGACAACATATACATGTCCTGCATGACATCTTTACAATAACACATTCCAAAAACAATCAAACATTTAACAGGATTATTAAGAAACATTAATTTCCTTCTCTCTAGATGACTGGTACTTTAGCTTTTTAGCTTCTGCAATAAAATGCGTTCCTTCTCAGCATTTCTATTCATAGGAATCCCTGAATCACTTCTGTCATGTAAGGTGCGAATTCATGTTGACGGTGTGTTCCATTAGTTACTGAATGTGTCAAAATCCTCTCCACGGTAGAACCTTTTATTGTAGCATAATGTGTGAATACCACTTCCAGGTTATCCCTCATCACAAATTCATCATTCATTATGGGAGTTCATCTGAAACTTTAAAAAAGTTTCATCCATTCAACTAATGTATCACAATAGTACGTTCATCAATTTGCATTTTTTATGAGTGACTCTCTCCTATCTCCTGTTAGACTTGTAAGTCTATGCTTTCTACTTTTCCTAAAAGGAAATCCAAATTTTGTTTCAGAAGTCATCATCACTGCCCCCTCCCAAACCAATTACATCAAGTTTATACTTAAAGACCACTAATATTAAATAAATTTATATTCCCTGAAACCTATCCTCCCTGAATTTGCCTGTTGGAGGCCCTTAGTTTTCCCACTGACCAATGTGTAATTGGGATTCAAAGCTATACCTGAATTTCCTACATTTCTAGTAACAGAATTTACCAAACATGAACTTTCTGATGGTGATTACGTAACTTCTAATTGAAGCCCTTTCCTCATCTGTGTTTTATGTCCAGAAATGTCTACTGATTTTGAAGATTTGCTTCACATTCCATCACTCAGATCTAAGTTTTTCTCTCAAGTATGGACTGTTTTATATCCTGTAAGAGCTGAACTACCTTGACACTGGAGCCTTTCTTGCTTGCTATGATTGAAAATCACATAGAAAGGATTCCTCATAATCCTCTAGGATGGTTTCATTTACACTGTGTAAATTACAAGCCATGACCCCCTACATTCTTACATTCATAAGGTATTTCTTCCATTTGAGTTCGGAGAGACTTGGTAAGCTCTGCCTGCTACAGAGGCATCCTCATCCTGCCCCCATCCAGGGCATTCCCTCCCTCATAGGTTCTCTTCTGGGATGTGCCACTATAACTTCCCACATATATCACATTTAAAGATTCCTCTCCAGTATGGGTTCTTTTATGCTTGGTGAGATTTGATCTGATATTAAAAGCCTTACCACACTCATTACATCGGTATGGCTTCTTTCCAGTGTGGATCCTTTTGTGCTGGTCAAGGACTGATCTATAATTGAAGGATTTCCCACACTCACAATTATAGGGCTGCTTCCCCTGGTGGACACTTTTATGATTGATAAGACTTGAGTGTGAGATGTATGCCTTCCCACACTCATCACATTCATAGGGTTTCTCACCTGTGTGGATCCTTTTATGCACTGTGAGGCCTGAGCTGTTCCTGAAGGCCTTCCCACACCTATCACACACATAGGGTTTCTCCCCTGTGTGGATCCTCTTGTGCTGAGAAAGGAGAGAGCTGTAACTGAAAGATTTCCCACACTCAACACACTTGAAGGGTTTCTCCCCAAGATGGACTCTTTTATGGCTTATAAGAGTTCTGCTTGAGAAAAAAGCTTTTCCACATTCATCACATGTATGGGGTGTCCTGCCAGGGTGGGTACTCTTATGGTTAATAAGGCTTGAGTGTGAGATGTAGGCTTTTCCACACACATCACATTCATAGGGCCTCTCCCCAGTATGGATTCTTTTATGAACTTTAAGGCTTGAGTTGTTTCTGAAGACCTTCTCACACCTGTCACATTCATAGGGTTTCTCTCTAGTGTGGACCCTTCTGTGCTGAGAAAGGAGCGATGTGTAATTAAAAGATTTCTCACACACATCACATTTGTAGGGCTTCTCCCCAAGATGAACTTTTTTGTGGTTTGTAAGGGTTCGGTATGTGATGAAGGCCTTCTCACACTCGTCACACTTAAAGGGCTTCTCCCCAGGGTGTACACTTTTATGATTTATAAGGCTCGAGAGAGAGATGTATGCTTTCCCACATTCTTCACATTTGTAAGGTCGTTCCCCAGTGTGGATTCGTTTATGTACTTTAAGGCCAGAATTATTTCTGAAAGCTTTACCACACTCATCACACCCAAAGGGTTTTTCCCTGGTATGAATCCTTTTATGCTGTTCAAGGGCAGAGCTGTAGTTGAAGGATTTCTCACAATAGCTACATTTATAGGGCTTCTCCCCAAGGTGGATTCCTTTGTGATTTTTAAGGCTAGAGCGTGAGATATAGGCTTTCCCACACACATCACACTTATATGGTTTTTCCCCAGTATGGAGCCTCCTGTGGACTTTGAGGCCTGCATTGTTTCTGAACGTTTTCCCACACACATCACATACATAAGGTCTCTCTCCGGTATGAATAGTTCTGTGTTGAAGAAGTAGTGAGTTATAACTAAAGGATTTCCCACACTCCTTACATTCATGGGCTTTCTTCCCAGGGTGAATGCTTTTATGGACTGCGAGGCCTGAGCTATAGCTGAATGCTTTGCCACAGACATCACACTTGTAAGGTTTCTCTCCTGTGTGGATCCTTTTATGCACTATGAGGCCTGAGCTGTTCCTGAAAGCCTTCCCACATTCATCACATTCATAAGGTTTCTCTCCAGTGTGGATGACTTTATGCTGAATGAGAAGAGAGCTATAATTAAAAGATTTCTCACACTCATCACATTTATAGGGTTTATCTCCAAAGTGGATGCTTTTATGGTTGAGAAGTGTTCTACAAGTAATGAAGGCCTTCCCACACTCATCACATTCGTAAGGTTTCTCACCTGTGTGGATCCTTTTATGGACCCTAAGGCCAGAGCTGTTACTGAAGGTTTTCCCACAGATGTCGCATTCATAGGGCTTCTCCCCCGTGTGGATCCTTTTGTGGACTCTGAGCCCAGAGCTGTTCCTGAAGGCCTTCCCACACTCACCACATTCATAGGGCTTCTCCCCAGTGTGGATCCTTTTATGCTGGTCCAGAACAGAGCTATAATTGAAGGATTTTCCACATTCATCACATTTACAGTTCTTCTCCCCAGAATGGGTGCTTTTGTGGTTTATAAGGCTGGAGTAGGACATGTAGGCTTTCCCACATTCCTCACACTTGTACGGCTTCTCCCCAGTGTGGATCCGTTTGTGGACCCGAAGGCTCGAGCTGCTCCGGAAAGTCCCTCCACAGTCATCACATTCATAGCGCTTTTCCCCAGTGTGCATAATTTTATGTTGAACAAGGCGGGAATTATATTTGAAGGATTTCCCACATTCATCACATTTATGTAATTTCTTAACAGCATTGGTTTTCTGCTGTAGACTAGGGTAGGAGGTTCCATTAATGTTCTCCACACGTTTGCCTTGCTCACTGCCTCTCTGTCCTATAGGCATAGTCTGGTGTGTGATATGCTGTGGGCTCAGATGCAAGCTCTTCTCAGATGCCTCACCTTCCTGTTCTGTCTTTATATTTGCTGTACTCTTGGCTTTGCTGATTGCTTCCCTGATGCTGCTTTTGTCCTCCTTCATCCTGTTTTCCACAGGCTTTTTCTGTTGATTCTCTACCTTGCTATCCCAAACACATGTGTCACCAACCTTAGATTCAGGCATAGGATCCTCCACTTTTGGCCACTTAGATGCTGCATTTCCAACATTTTCATATTCTTCAGTTGGTTCCTCATCCTCAGTGCTCGTCTTCAAATGTGACACTAAACCAAGAAAATGAAAAGGACACCTATTCACTCTCTTAAAAAAAAACAAAAACAAACTGGAATAACAATGAACAACATTCACTTGACAAACATTTACTGACAACATACTGTGTGACAGGTACCATGTGCCATGTACCGGTTTTTAAGTACTAGGGATACAACAATGAATATGACAAAATTTCTGCCCCTGTGGAACTAATGTTAAAATGCTAGAACCCTGGATTTTCAATGGAACAATGAGCTTTTCTATTCTTGCATAACAGCTTAGCATAGGGCAGGGTGAAATGATGCACAGAACCATGGGCAACACCAATCAGTTTTTAAACAATGTCACCCAGTCATGGAAAAACAAACAAGAGGGCAGAAGAAATCTCTGAAGAAGACAGAAAAATTCATAAGTAGGACAAAAGTTAGGTAAAACTTTTTTTTATTATGAAAAGTTAGACAAAATCAGCAGAGGACAGACAAAACTAAAGAGAAAAAATTAGTACCTGGGGAGGGGTATCAGGGAGAAGGCTATGAAACCATGAAGACAGTTACTGCAGAGATGAGGAAGAAGGCAACCTGCATATTAAAATATATTATTAAACGTCTATAATTAAAATAGTATGGTCCTGGTACATAGACAGGCAAATGGAATAGAACAGGAAGTCCAGACATTGTCCCAGGTAGACACAGAAATTAATGATACAGATGATATCTGAAATTACCAGAGAAAAGATGGTCCTTTTAATAGTGTTGTAACAACTATGAAGCCATATGGAAAAAGATAAAATTAAGGCTGGGTGCAGTGGCTCACACCTGTAATCCCACCACTTTGAGAAGCTGAGGTGGGCGGATCACGAGGTCAAGAGATCGAGACCATCCTGGCCAACATGGTTAAGCCGTCTCTAGTAAAAATACAAAAATTAGCTGGGCGTGATGGCACGCACCTCTAATCCCAGCTACTTGGGAGGCTGAGGGAGGAGAATCACTTGAACCTGGGAGGCAGAGGTTGCAGTGAGCCGAGATCGTTCCACTGCACTCCAGCCTGGTGACAGAGCAAGACTCCGTCTCACAAAAAAAAAAAAAAAAAAAGATACAATTAGATCCCATTCTTCACACCATACACACATGAATAAACTCCATATGGAATAGAGCTCTAAATATAAAAAAGCTGTACAAATGCCAGAAAACATGGGTAAATGCCTCTCTGGCCTGAGTATAGAGGAAGCTTTCTAATGATGACTCATATGCAACAAAAGACTGATACATTTTCAAAAACTGAAGAAAAATAAACTACAAATCATACAGGAAAACAGGTAAAAAGATGAACAAACAATTCTTTTAAATGGTCCTTAAACATTCGACTTGATTCATAATGAGAGAAAGATAAATAAGAACTACTGTAAAACACCACTTCTCACCTGTCATATTAGCAAATGTTCAAAGCTTGACAATACACTGTTGATAAGGCTGTGGAGGAAACAGGCACTCTCATACACTGCTGGGAATGCAAACTGGCACAGCCCCTTTTAAGGGGAATTTGCCAATATCTATCAAAACTACATATGCATTTACCCAGAAGTCCTACTTTAGGAATTTATAATGAAGATACACCTCCAACAATATAAAAAACATACATGCACAGAGTGACTCATTATAGCATTAATTGTAACTGCAAAATCTGGAAACCTACATAAATCTCCAAGCACAGAAGACTGGTTAAATAAACTGGAGCATATACACAACGGAGTACTGAAAAAGGACGAGGAGCGCTTCTGAATTGATATGGAGCAATCTGTATATCCTAAAGTCAAAAGGTCAAAGTGAAAAAGAGTAATATACATGCTACGTTTCGTGTAGGAAAGAAAACAGGAAAACAAGCACGTATGTGTTTCTCTTTATAGCAACGATAAACCAGAGAACAATGAGGTTCATCACCTACAAGGGAGGAGTGTGGAGAATGGAGCAGAAGGGATGGGAGAAAGAGAGAGACTCCGAGTATATAGCCTTTTTAATAGTTTTTACTATACAAAATACATAATATTCTACATATTCAAAGAATAAAATTAAACATCAGTGAGGATGGGAAAGGAGAAAAACTGCTAAAACAAAACAAATCAACCTATTTGCATTTCCCATGAATACCACAATCGCAGGAAGAGAACAAAAAAGAAATACAGAAGTAATCCAGGCAACTTAGAAACGTATTTGACTACGTAAGTACATTCAGTCTGGGGAAAGCTGGAGGCGGGGCAGTGGGAAGAGGTACAAATAATTCAACTGTTAGCAGGTTTTCTGTAGAGGTATGAACAAAGCGATTCTGAAACAACTTTAGATGTATTAAGAACCTGAGTAAATGTGTTGATTTTGTTGGGCTCAGGGCTCTCCTAGAGAAAGGGACATAAAAATAAGCAAGAGAAGAAGGCGAAAATGAACCTTGGGATGAATTTGCAGTACTGGTGTGAACTTATGATTTCTAAATCACATATATGTGCATGCATGTATATTCAAGCCTGTATGGCTGTATGCATATATTTGCATATATTTCCTGATTTCCTAGTTCTGTTTGCTGAAAGCCCAAAAAACAAAACACTCCAGTGGTAATGAGCACATCTAGTACCCCATTCTGGGTCTACTATTACCATTATTTACTAAAAGGAACCAGAGCTCCTCAAAGAAATGGCTGATTGCAGGCTGAAAGCAGGAAACATACAAGATGAGCATCATGCTATACCAGCAAGTAAAGAGAGGCTCAAAAAAAGGGTAGGGACACGCTGCAAGACCCAGCTTGAACATCCAGTGTTCAAGCACCGTAATAACTAAGTATAGTGATACATTATAAACCACTGAAGATAGGATTTCATGAGTCTACACAGGTACAAACAGGGGAGAAAGGGAGGCCTCTTGCTTACAGCAGAATGTGAGTGCTGGTTGATAAATGTAGAAGGAATACCAGAATTGGAAAAGTCAGCACTCTGCAACTATCAGAGTAAAGACTGGATCAGGAGAGAATCATCAGTGAATTCTACGTCTAGGAGGAAATTCTGACAAGGAGCAGGATATCCGCATGGTCTTAAATATTTATAATGCTTAAATTATTTACAAGGGGGAAAAATACAAGAGTGGAGAGACAATGCCTTGGCCAGGTGTTCTAATTTAACACCTCCAGAGGGGCAGATAGACATAATATGCTTTTAGTAGGGAGAAGGACACATCACCTATGAGAATGCATTACATGAACTGAATCACCAGGTAAACCCAAAACGAACAATGTTTTCTACTAAAACAGAGGGTGGAGAGAAGAGGGGGGACTGTATTTTTCAAATACATCATTTTCATAAAAGACAAAGAAGAGCTGTACAAATGTTCCAGATTAAAGAAGGCTAAAGAGACTTGACCACTATATTACATTCCTGACCTTGACTGGATCTGTAGCGGAGGGGAAAATTGTTATAGAAAACAATTACATCAGCTGAAAAAGTTGGAAAATGGATGGTAGACTAGGTAAAAGCAGTATCAACTTCCAATTTACTCAATTTGAAAACTTACTGTAGTTATCTATGAGACTATCCCAATCCTTAGGAAATATACGCTGAAGTATTTAGGGATAAAGGGCCATGATGTATATAATTACCTACAAATGGTTTAGAAAAATACTTGCATGTATGAAAGAGAGAGCAAGAGGACAAAATGAAGTCAAATGTTAACTGCAGGTAAATCTGAGTGATGGGAATCTTTTTACTGTTCGTATTCTTGAATTTTTTCTGTGCATTTGAAGTTATTACCAAACAAAAAGTTTTTAAAGTATCAGAAAGCAAATTTGTTTCCTCTTCTACACCTTCCCCTCCAGGTACTGCTTTGCCATCCTACTGCCTGTTGTATCTGGAAAAAGTGGTCTTCACATCCCACTCCTCTCATGCCTCATTTCTTCCACGCAGACCACACTGCATTAGCGTCTTCAGGCTGCTGCTTGCCCTCCGCGCTGCTGCCCCTGGATGTTTCTGGCCCCTCCTTCCACCTTGAGACATTCCTCTCCTGGCTCCACATATTCCCCTGGGAGCCCTCATGGCTCCCAGCACTCCCACACACCGTCTCAGGTCCTCATCTCTGCCCAGGATCCCTCTCAATTACAGAGCCTCATATCCACCTTGCCACCCACACTTTTGCCTAAATCAGAAATGGGCTACTTCCCTTGGCCACATCCAAAACAGCCCCTAGGACCGCTGATTCTATTGCCTAAGTAGTTCTGAAGCTCCCACCCCATCCCCCACCTCCTTCTTACTGCTAAGGCCTTAGTTTGAGCCTTCTAAATTCTCTTCTGCATGACTGCCATCGTTTCTAGACCTTCACTCTTATCCCTGCCCAATTCTTTCTCCAACCACTGTGAAGAATTTTTGTAAAATGCACACCTAGTCACTGGGCAGTGCCAAGTTCTCCCAGGCTACTTACTGTGGCACCTAAAGCCTTCTGCACCAGCCGCCTGTGCAACTGTCAACCCTCACTGCCACTCCACTCACTGATTCTCAGCCTGATCTGTCCTCCTTTGTTTCTTTGACAAGTGGATTATTCGTTTTCTTCCTGTCCTCTGGGATTCCATGTTAGACTGGCTGCTGACTGGCCTGGTCTGCCTAAAATCACAGACACTTTGCCACTTACCTCTCTAACCTAGGTGAAGGCCAGGGGCCTCCCTGTTCTGGCTCTGCTTAAACCCCTCTGTTTGGGTTGGGGCGCATGATGTCCCGTCACCTGATGTAGTTCATCCAATCCTCTTCTTGAGTGAAATCAAAATGGATTAACATAAACATGCATCTTCAATGAAAATAGATGGCTTGAAATGAAATCTATGTTAATCAATACTAAGATCCATCAAAAACACAGGCAGAAAAGCACCAAGACAGCACTAGAGTAAATGCTGCTAAAACATAAAGACAATACAAAGAATGTAACACATAAGGATAATTAAGTTATCCTTATAAACAATACTGGAGATGCATTCTAGGGTATCAGTTATTTCTGAGGCTAAGTGTTGCCCAAGGAACTTAAGACTATTGTCTGCATCCTGTTTGTTTTCCAGGCCCCGGGCTATTCCTATCCAAAGACATGGATATGACAAGGCCCTGCCATCAAGGTGCCTGCAGACTAGTAGGAGAGTCTGGTAGGAAAATAACCATATGATAAAAATGACAGAGGCGGCCGGGCATGGTGGTTCACGCCTGTAATCCCAGCACTTTGGGAGGCTGAGGCGGGCAGATCATGAGATCAGGAGATCGAGACCATCCTGGCTAACACCGTGAAACCCCATCTCTACTAAAAATACAAAAAAATGGCCGGGCATGGTGGTGGGCGCCTGTAGCTCCAGCTACTAGGGAGGCTGAGGCAGGAGAATGGCATGAACCTGGGAGGCGAGCCTGCAGTGAGCTGAGATCGTGCCACTGCACTCCAGCCTGGGTGACAGAGCAAGACTATGTCTCAAAAAAAAAAAAAAAAAAAAAAAAAAGCAAATACAGGACATGGAGGGTGGGAAAGGGGGGATGGACTACAGGAATAGCTTCAGGAAGAGAAGAGTGCCAAGGGAAGAGCAGGTACAGAGGAACTGGTGTTCACCCCCCGAAGACATCTGGGGCAGGCAAAGGGAAAATCAGACAGGTAGGCAAAGACAAGGGCTGCAACCATAAGGAGTCCAGACTTGATCCTCGGGAGCTTCGGGCAAAGGAGTAGCAAACTTGGATATGCGTTTTGGAAAAATTACTTATTTTATTAAACTGGAGTTGGCAAACATTTTCTGTAAGAACCAGGTAGCATATATTTTAGGCTTTGTGGGCCACACAGAACTGCTGAGTACTATTTTTGTTTAAGCATTCCTTTAAAAGTGTAAAAATCATTCTTAGTTTGTAGGCCATACAAAAACAGTCCACAAGCCCAGCAGTGTGCCCACCTCTGTTAGATAATATCAAGGAATCAGAGCTAATTTAGGCTGGTATAATAACGGCATTGTGGCTATGTTAGAACTTTTGTTTTTTTTTTGTTGTTTTTTTGAGACTGAGTCTTGCTCTGTTGCCCAGGCTGGAGTGCAATGGCACGTCTCAGCACACTGCAGCCTCCACCACCCAGGTTCAAGCGATTCTCCTGCCTCAGCCTCCCGAGTAGCTGGGATTACAGGTATGTGCCACCATGCTCAGCTAATTTTTATATTTTTAGTAGAGATGGGGTTTTGCCATGTTGGCAGGCCTGTCTCCAACGCCTGACCTCAGGGGATCCACCCGTCTCAGCCTCCCAAAGTGCTGGGATTACAGGCGTGAACCACCGCACCCAGACCTTTTTTTTTTTTTTTTAAATTCAGACTGAAGTCTGCAGTGAAATGGCATGGAATCTGGAATTTAAAATATTTCAATCAGGAAAAACTAAAAAGGGAAAAGTTAAACAGCAGAATCCTGATAATTGCTGAATCCAAGTGATGGGTATATGGAAGTTCATAAGAAAAAAACTTTAGGCCGGGTACAGTGGCTCACGCCTATAAGCCCAGCTCTTTCGGAGGCCGAGGCAGGTGGGTCACCTGAGGTCAGGAGTTTGAGACCAGCCTGGCCAACATGGTGAAACCCCATCTCTACTAAAAAAAAAAAAAAAAATTAGCTGGGCATGGTGGTGGGCACCTGTAATCCCAGCTACTTGGGAGGCTGAAGCAGGAGAATTGCCTGAATCCAGAAGGTGGAGGTTGCAGTAAGCTGAGATTGTGCCATTGCACTTCAGCCTGGGCAAGAAGAGTGAAACTCTGTCTCAAAAAAAAAAAAAAAAAAAAAGAAAAAAAGAAAAGAAAAAAAAGAAAAATATTTTAAAAAGATCAGGCAAGGTGCAGTGGTTCATGCCTGTAATCTCAGCACATTGGGAGGCTGAGGCAGACAGATCACTTGAGGCTAGGAGTTCAAAACCAGCCTGGCCAATGAGGTGAATCCATCTCTACTAAAAATACAAAAATTAGCCAGATGTGGTGGTGCACACCTGTAGTTCCAGCTACTCGACTTGGGAGGCTGAGGCACAAGAATCGCTTGAACCTGGGAGGCAGAGGTTGCAGTGAGCCAAGATAGCGCCATTGCACTCCAGCCTCGGTGACAGAGCGAGACTCTGTCTCAAAAAAAAAGAAAGATCACTCACACTAGTTGCAGTGGGAGAATGGATTGAGGCAAGACAGGACTGAGTCCTGGAGTTCCAGGAGTAAGTCACTATAATCCAATCAAGACTGATTTGGTAGCTAAGTCATGTGTCCCTGATGACACAAGTAAGGAATTACCCCCAAAACACAACTCTTCCATATAAAGACCCAGAAACTCCTGAATTTCTTAAAAGTTCTAAAGGCTGAATGGACAAGCCCTTTCTAACCAGTTTTCAACACGCAGCATGAGTCTAATAGCCTGGTTACATCAGCCAAAAGCGTCAGACATAGAACGCCACCCACTCCTTCCAAACTACATACGACCAACAACCTCTGGGCACTCTTCCGAGCTTCTTGTTCATGCTTTATCGCCAAGGCCTAGAAAAGTGAATGCAAACAGTTAAGAACCGGCCCTACATTCTTGCTGTCTCTGCCTCCGAGACTCAGGAGCCACTTTTCAAGAGCCGAGACAACTCGTTAGAGAGGAGCCGTGGCCTGCTCTGGCCGAAAACCCCTTCCTATTAACAGACTGCAACTAGCCCGGAACGACTTTCAATTTGCAGAGTCCAACCATATTCCACAAGACAATCTACCACCTCAAGGTTCACGCGTGGATTCTACACCTTAAATCCTTGGATACTGTCTTTGATTTGGAGATGAGCAAAGAAAGGAAACAAGACAAGAGAAAGTGACAAAATGCTTACCAACCCAGAACAAAGAGTACCTAGGAGGGGCAAAATGTACAAAGGAAAGATGGGACTAAGGAACAGAGAAGTGATATGCAGATGAGAAGAGAATATGGTTTGTGTTCTAGCTACTGTTGCATTTGTCTTATGAATATTAGGAATGTATATGATTAACGTGAGTTGGTTCTATTGCTTAAATATAGAAATAAGAATGAAAGGTGATTTTTCCTTAAAGTAAAAAACTGAAATAGAACATTCTCATGCCAAGTAGTGGAGAAGAGATTTCTAGTTGTCGTAGGGGAGGAGGTGAGCAAAGGCGATACTAAAAGGGAGGCTGATTTTCTGAATCAAACCCGGCAGGGACTGGCTTGGAGTCATTGACACAATTAGTCTATTAGGCTAGTGTAACACTAAATATAGGGACAAGTCTCAGAAGGGAAGAACTACTTACGTCTTATTTGTTCTTTAAACACTCTACATCAGTGATTTTGATAACGACTTGTCATATGTAACAATCTGCCAATAACTGGTTGAGTTAATGTAAAAAAATAATTTTCTAACGGCTGTTTAGTTTCTTCTGTAAAAATCCCTACCCTAATACACTGTATTGAGTATACCATTGTTTGAAGTAACAACAAATTGGAGACAACCCAAATGCCCCCGAATAGATCTAAAAAAGGACAGAACATCGAAAACATCCAAACAATGGCCCATCCAATACTTACCACAGCTCTGTAAAACAAAACGAAACAAAACACAACTTCTGTGTTCTGACATGTAGAGACCAGTAAGATAAAGTGAAAGAATCAAGGAGTTAGAAGGATTTCTATCACCTGTGTGAAAAAAGGGGGAACTAACTAGTTATATTTGCCAGTATTTGCAGAAATTCGGAAAAGATACAAAGGAACAAAAGTGGTTACCTAAGAGGGTAGGGCCTAGGAAGATACCTAAGCGGGATGGGAAGAAATCTTTCACTGGTAACTTTTTATATTTTTAATATCCCAGCCATATGAATATATTACATATTTCATATTATTATTTTTTTTAAGCCTTGAGCTTTCACAAAGAAATGCTCCTGCTGGCCAACTACTTTAAATGTCTTAGAGCAGCACACCCAGCCCTGGCATTCCCCAGTGATCTTTTCCGTCCCACCCCTGGGTTCCCGCAGGCTGTCCCCTGGGTCTAAGAAACTCTTCGACCTTCCTCTCCCTACCTAGTTAACTCCTTTTCTGCTTGCAGGAACACGCGGCAGGTCGCCTCCTCCCCGGTGCACCCGTCTGTATGCAGGTGCGCTTCCCCAGATGAGGGCTAGGACGCACCTCCGGGGTCTCTATTCACACCTGCAGCGGGAGCTTATCATCATCACTCACCGACCAAAAAAAAAAAAGAAAAAAAGGTGGTGGGGTGGAGCGGAGGGGAAGAAGGTCGAATCAGATCACCCCTAGAGGTCTCTCTGCCCTCGCAATCACTCTCAAGTCCTAGAGTACCAAACTTAACTGCAGAGGGAGCACGAAATGGTGGGTATTTTGAAGCGCTAATTTTTAGGGATCCCCTCCCATCCAAAACAGGGATGAATAGTTGAGGAACACCGGAGCGGGGCCCTGGCCCTTCTCGGAACGTTGAGCAGACCTAACATGACGCTGGTCCGTTCAAACGTCGCAGTTGTGGCCCACACAGAGCCCAGTCTGTTCCAGGGGCGCGCCCTGCACCCCTCTGCCTGCCCGAGGTCTTCCCTCCCCTCCGCTCCCCAGAAACGCACCCACTGAGACATGTGCGGGGAGGGGGCACGCTTACTCCCACATCCCGCCCGAGACCCGCGGAGCAGCCAAGACCCGGCCAAAAAGGGGAGGGCGTGGCAGGCAAGGGCCGGGGGCGGGAGCGCGGGCGGCCGCGGACTCACGTACTGGCTGTGGCGGCGCCGCGGGAACCCGGCCGCCAGCGGGACAAAAGCGCGGACCGCACGGCCGGAAGAACCCGCGCCGGCCCTGGGGCACTTCCGCGCCCTCTCTGGGACGCTGGAGGACTGACTCGATGGTCCGGGCCGACGGCGCCGGCGGGAGGGAGGGAGGGGAGCGCCTCCTCGGCTATTTATTGAGGACCAGCTGCAGGGCGCGCGCTCCAGGCGCGGCCAGGAGGCCGTGGGCGGGGCTTTCTGTTTCCGTGCCCATTAGCTTCTGGGGTAGGCTGGGGGAGGGGCACAGGTAATAAAGTAAATACCTGCCTACCTGGTTCCTGAACACGTGATTCATTGCCAGGTGTGGGTGCGGGGACGTTCCCGGAAGTGGGGGCCTGGCGGGAAATGGGGGAATCCGGGAGGGGCGCAGGACAGCGCTGGGCTGGGGACCCATTGCCTTCTCAGCTGGTTGGGGGCTGGCCCGAGAGCACCAGCCCTTCCTGGTCGTCAGCACCAGAAGCGCCCCCGGTTAGGCACTGGGGATGCGGAGTGGGAGCGCGCCCCTGGAGCCGTCCCTGGGACCGGGCCACGCTCCCACCCGGGGCGCCAGCTTGGCAGCGACCTCGCCCCCTGCCCACCCCACCGCCGGTGTCGGCTTCCAAACCCAGGGCCTAAAATGACTTTGAAGACCTTTTTTTTTTTTTTAAATTAATGTTTGTGGGTACATAGTAGGTGTCCCTATTTGTCGAGTACGTGAGATATCTTGATACAGACAGGAATGCAATGCGTAATAATCATATCAGGGTTAATGGCGTGTCCATCACTTCAAGCATTTATCCTTTGTGTTACAAGCAATCAAATTATATTCTTATTTTTAAATATACAACTAAGTTATTGGCTATAGTCAGCCTTTTTTAAAAACAGCAACATCTAAATATTTTTCATATTAAGTTTAAATAATTGCAAAGGGTATATTTTTGGCATGCTGTTAATATTAAGAACAAAATTGCTTTCAAGTGTATCCAATGGAATCTAAATCCCTGAAGATTTGGTATTATCCACTTTTAACAGTCATAAGTTTTACATCTTTTAGGGTTTTTTTCCTTGAACTTTTATGTCCCTCACCGGCTTTTTATTCTACTGTAAAAATATTTTCATTCTATGTGCCTCATTGAATTTTATCCTAGTGTAAAATAGTTCTATGCATTGTTTTATTGTTTATTGTTTATCCTAGCATATATGTCCGTAACGAAAGTAGATTACATTTTTTCTTAGTGTTATTTTCTGGATTATTAGCAAAATTATATAAATATTTCAAAATGTTTACTGTTAATTCTTAGACAAAAAGTGAAGTGCTTTGGAAGCACAACTTGTAATGAGATGGATTTTGTTTTACAGCTCAAATTATTTATATTATTTGAATGAATTTTACATATTGCTGGGGTGAGCCGGTGTTTGGCATCAGCTCGACGCCTATTTTTCATTTTTATACATGTGGGTGCTGAGACACTGTGTTCACTCAAGTAGAGGGAATGGGCGTTTCATTGTAGCAATAAGACCCTTGACGGCATTTGGGCTTCACGCCACAACCCCACCCACCTCGAAGAACGTCTGGGCGAGTTAGCAGGCAGCAGCGACTCCTAAGGAGGAGCAGAGCCCCAGGCCCAGGTCTGCAGCTTTAGGTGAGAGCCCCAGAGCGAGCAGAGGATTGGGAGTTAGAGCTGCCCCCAAAGGATAGTGAGACACATGCAGCTGTTGAGCACTTGAAATGTGGGTAGTGCTGCTGAGGATCTGAATTTTTAATTACATTTAATGTAAATAGCCACATGTGGCTAATGGCCACCTTATTGGATAGCACAGCTCTAGAAGGAGCTTCAGGTGGTCCTCACAGGCCTCCAGAATTAAAGCTGCCCTTAAAGGTTCATGGTAGGCAAAGACTGGGTTTTTACCTCTAGGCAGCAAGATAGAAAAATATTCATATCTGGGTTGGAACACTTCGCTCAATGAAAGGTGGTGTGTGTGTGGAAGGGATTATGGGAAACCCACATAAATCATCTTGAGTCAGATGCTTTTTATTTTATCTTATTATTTATTTGTTTTGAGACAAGCTCTCACTTTGTTGCCCAGGCTGGAGTCAGGGTGGCATGATTATGGCTCCCTGCAGCCTCGATCTCCCAGGTTCAAGGGATCCTCCCACCACAGCCTCCCAAGTAGCTGGGACTACAAGTGCATGCCACAACAGCCCCACTAATTTTTGTCTTTTTTGTAGAGATGGGGCCTCACTATGTTGCCCAGGCTGGCCTTGAACTGCTGGGCTCAAGTGATCCGTCTGTCTTGGCCTCTGAAAGTGTTAGAATTCAGGCGTGAGCCACCGTGCCTGTCGGATCCTTTTGATTTTAGATGACGGCTTTTCCTCCTTGAGCCTTGTTATATTGCAGGCACCTTTCATTTGGCCTGTGTCTACATAACACACACAGACAACAGACACAGACACAGACACAGACACATGCTTGCCTTTCTAACACTTTTAGAGATATCTACACATCAGAGCTGAGTTCAGTAGGGCAGTCATTATTCACATGTAGCTTATGGTAGTCTGAATTGAGATGTGCTGTAAATGTAAAATCCACACCACATTTCTAAGACTTAGGAAAAGAGAATGTAAACTATCTTATTAATAATTTTTAATGTTGATTACATGCTGAAATAATATTTTGACTATATTGGGGTAGATCAAATACATGGTTGCAATGAATTTTACCTGTTTCTTTTTACTTTAAATGCATCTAGAAGATCAGAAGTCACATACATGGCTCACAGTACATTTCCATTGAACAGCACTGCTCTAGGAGGCCAATAGGTGCAGCAGTGAGGTTGTCTGGGTTTGCTCTTGCTTTGCTGGCTCATCTACCTCCCTTTGGAGTGGTTTAAGTACAAATTAATGTTGAGCTAAGCCCATAGGGCTTAATTCCAACTCTGTGTTTAGCCATTGAATTTGGTCACAGATTTATTTTTGTTTTTTTTAGAGACAGCATCTTGCTCTGTCACCCAGGATGGAGCGCAGTGGTGTGATCACATAGCTCACTGCAACCTCAGTCTCCTGGGCTCAAGCAGTCCTCCTGCTTCAGCCTCCTGAGTAGCTAGGACTATAGGTGTGAACCACTAGATCCAGATTAAATATTTTTTTTTTTTTGTAGATGGAGTCTCACTGTGTCCTCCAGGCTGGAGTACAGTGGCACGACCTCGACTCACTGCAACCTCTGCTTCCCAGGTTCAAGCGATTCTCCTGTCTCAGCCTCCCACGTAGCTGGGATTATAGGCACATGCCACCACACCAGGCTAATTTTTGTATTTTGGTAGAGACAAGATTTCACCATGTTGGCCAGGCTGGTCTCAAACTCCTGACCTCAGGTGATCCGCCCACCTTGGCCTCCCAAAGTGCTGGGATTACAGGCGTGAGCCACTGCTCCCGGCCTCAGATTAATTTTTTAATTTTTTTTGCAGCGGTAGGGTCTTGCTGTGTTGACCAGGCTGGTCTCAAATTCCTGGGCCTCAAGTGATCCTCCCACCTTGGCTTCCAAAAGTACTGAGATTACAGGTGTGAACCACCATGCCCAATGGCAAATTTATTTTAAAATAAAATCTCTCCTCCCACTGTACCATAATATCAGTTCATTATGTTAAATCTGGAAAACAGAAAAATTATTCTTAATTTAGTAAACTAGTTTTTGGTCTTGTTGCCCAGACTGGAATGCAGTGGCACGATCTCAGTTCACTGCAACCTCCCCCTCCCAGGTTCAAGGGATTCTCCTGCCTCAGCCTCCTGAGTAGCTGGGATTACAGGCGCACACCACCATGCCCAGCTAAGTTTTTGTATTTTTAGTAGAGATGGGGTTTCATCATGTTGGCCAGGCTGGTCTCAAACTCCTGACCTTGGGTGACTCACCTACCTCGGCCTCCCAAAGTGCTGGGATTACAGGCGTGAGCCACCGCGCCCGGCCTAAACTTTCCTTTTTTTAAAAAAAATAGAGACAAGGTCTTACTATGTTGCCCAGGCTGGTCTTGAACTACTGAGCTCAAATGATCCCCCTGCCTCAGCCTCCCAAAGTGCTGGGATTACAAGCATGTGCCACCACACCCAGCCCATAATTTAGTAAATTTTCTTACTTAGTAAACTTTAGTAAACTTAGTAAACTTACTTAGTAAACTTAGTAAACTTTTTTCTATCACCAGTTTGTGAGTGTTTTTCAGATAGTGTCATAATCATACTATATCTGTATTTTTATATAGCATTTTTACAAATAATATTATACATTAGCATTTTTCATGTTTTTACTCTCTGTGATATTCCATTAAACTACAGTCTCCTTAACTATTCTGTATAACTCACAGAGGTTTTTTCTAAGTATGTCTTTTTTAAAAAATAAATCAGTGCTGTTTTAGATAGTAGCGTGCAGAACGCTTTCATCGTATTTTCCTTGGAATAATTGACAAGAAGAGGAATCACTGGTTCAATAGACAGACATTTTTAAGAGTCTTAAAATAAGAACAATAGGGAATTAGAAACACTAATAAGCTTAATAGGTAAACACTGGAAACAATCAGAGTAAAGAACTAGACAAGGTTGTTACTCATCAGTACTATTATTTCCCATTGCAGCTGGATTAAACAAAGAAAAAAGAAGTCAGAATATAAACATTGGAAAGCAGAGGTGTAATTGTCTTATTTGCAGATATGATTTCATTTTTGGAAAACTCACAAGAATTAACTTGAAAAAACTAGAAAAAACGAGAATGCTGTAAGGTGTGTTTTCAAAATTAACATATAGAAATCAAGTTTCCTTATATAGAAACTACAGTTGGAATAATGGAAGGAAAGACTACATTTACAATAGAAACAAACAAAAGACCAAATGCCCAGGAATTCATGACTCACGTGCAAGACCCATATGAAGAAAATTTACAGTGCTCCTGGGGACATAGAGGATGAACTAAACTTATGGAAAGATTCTTGGATGTTCCATTCACATGAATGGAAACACTTGACATCAGAACAGTCATTTCTTGTAAAGTATAATTGTCATGATCCTGATAAAAGCTAGCAATAGAATCTCCTTTGGCAACCCACAACTGATTCTAAAGTTCACATGGACAAATTTAACAGACTCTTGCTTGTTTCTAGCTAGAAAATGCCTATAAAAATATGAATGACGCAAGGCACTATTAAGGCACGTTAATAATTAAGCTGGTATAATTCTGAGACATACATATAAAGTCTAGAAATAGACCTAAACAGTCATGGGTATTCGGCATCTGGTAAAGCTAGCATTTCAAACTAGTGGCAAAGACAGAACAGGGACAGCTGGGAAGCATTGGGGAAAAAATGAAGTTGGATTCAAACCACAGCCCTTACACCAGGATGAATGCCAGGTGTATCTAAGACTGAACTGTGAAATGCACACACACCAACCATCCTGGCAGCTGCTCCCACTTCCATAAAATTTTACAAAGAAAAAAAAAAAACTGCAGGAGATTGCTTTGCTCATATTGGACTGAGGGAGGGTTTTTGTTTTCTTTCTTTCCTTTTTACTATAACGCAAAATCCAAAAACTGTAAAAGTAAAGATAGAGCAATTCAAACACATAGAAATAAAATACTTCCGTGTGGCAAAACCACTACAAGAAAAGTAAAAAAATCAAATGACTAACTGGGAAAAAATATTTGCATGTTATATCACAAAGGGCAAATTTCCCTGATACACAGAGCTTCTCCAAAATTGAAAACCTGAACAACCCAGTGGAAAAATGGGCTCACAGGAAAGCTTATACAAATGATTCAAAATAAAAAAGAATGCAAGCCCAAACTACATGGAAATACAATTTTTCTCTTATTAGAATGGCAAAGATCCTGAGTTTGATCCACGCTGTGGTGGTGACAGCATGGTGGGGAAAGCACTCTTCCCCGCTGGTGGGGTGTTGACGGACCTCACCTCCAGGGAAGGCAGCGTGCGGTGTGGATGGACGTGCACGTACTCTTTGCCGCAGCAATTCTCCTCTACGAGTCTACCCTGCTGGTATAGTCACACACTCATGAAATGGTGTGTGAAAAGGTTATTCACAATAGTGTGTCTAAAGTAAAAGATGGAGAAAACCTAAAGGTCCAAACTAAAGACGTGATTACATAAATTATTGTACATTCACGTGTATTAGTTTTCCAGGGCTGCTGTAAGAAAGTACCCCACACAATGTGGCTTAAATAGGAACAAGTTATTGTCTCACAGTTTTGGAGGCTAGATGTCTGAGATCAAGGTGTCAGCAAGTTTGGTTCCTTCTGAGGCTGTGAGGGAGAATCGGTTCCACGTTTTGTACCTAGCTGCTGGTGGTTTGATGGAAATCCTTGGTGTTCCTTTGGACGGAGACCACCACTTCTCCTGTTGTCCTTCCCAGCTTCTCCCCAACCTCCCCTTTTCCCTAGTTTATAAGACAGGAGAAAAGGGAGAAAGCACAGAGTTGGAAAGAAACAGAAGATAGCGAGACGACCTTGGCGCCACCACCTGGCCCTGGTGGTTAAAATAATAATAATAATAATAATAATAATAATAATAATAATAACCCCTGACCAAAACTACTGGTGTTATCTGTAAACTCCAGACATTGTGTGAGAAAGCACTGTAAAACTTTTTGTTCTGTTAGCTGATGTGTGTAGCCCCCAGTCACGTTCCTCACGCTTACTTGATCTATTATGACCCTTTCACGTGAACCCCTTAGAGTTGTAAGCCCTTAAAAGGGCTAGGAATTTCTTTTTCGGGGAGCTCGGCTCTTAAGACGTGAGTCTGCCGATGCTCCCGGCCGAATAAAAACCTCTTCCTTCTTTAATCCGGTGTCTGAGGAGTTTTGTCTGCGACTTGTCCTGCTACACTTGGCTTGTGGACACAGCACCCAGTCTCTGCCTTTACCATCACACACAGCCTTCTCACTGCATGCATGCCTGTGTGCAAATTTCTCCCTTTTTTAAGGAGACCAGTTATATCGGATTAGGGCCCTAAACTACTCACTCCAGCATGACCTCGGCTTAACTAAATACATCTGCAATGACTCTGTTTCCAAATAAGGTCACATTAGGAAGTATCTGGGGTTAGGACTTCAACATACGAATTTTGGGGGAACACAGTTCAACCCATAACAGCATGCAATGTACTACTTTCAGCCATAAAAAAGGAAGAGGGGCCTCTTTATAAAATGGTATGGGAAAATCTCCAAGATGCATGTGAAATAAAGAAATCAATGTGCCAAGCTATGTTATAATTTGCATAAGAAAGGGTGAAATGAATGTGTACATATTTGTGTATGTTCATAAAAATGTTCCTGAAAGTTCACACCAGAAACCACTAACCGGGGCTGTCGGTGAGGAGGCACCTGGGTGGCTGGAAGAGAAGGGTGGGAAGGAGAATTTTCAGTGCATATCGTCTTTATACTCCTGCATTTTGAACCACGAGAATATAGTATTTATTCAAAAATTATATGTAAACATAAATAATCCTAAATTGCATCAGATTGCTAAACTACTACTTCAAGAAGGAGTATTTCAATTTATAAAGTTTCCAACTATAAGTAAAAGCTCTTTACTCACTCACCTCCCCAGGATTGGGTTGTGGCAGGTTTGTTTTTTCTCTAAATTTGTAGGCAGCAAATAGTGTCTGGTTGTTTAATTTTCTTTACCCTTCTATCATGTGTGTCACCCAATTGAGCCATCTCTCCCAGGGACTGCCTGTCCTGTCCTTACATCAAGTCTTTCGGTACCTTTTGTAGAGTTTGTGTCCATTGTGGGAACACATTCTTTATTAAAGAAGTTCACCTTTTGAATTGGCCATCAATTGCTGTTCTCTTTCCTGCTTGCCCTTTAACACCAACAATTTCCTTTCATCCCTCAAGCTTTACATGGATGTGTAAAATCTGTGTGGCAGGTGGCGCTGTTGAGCTGGAAGGGACCGTGGGATGAATCTGGAGAAACCTGTTACCAGAGGCTCTTAAGGGATAACCCACAGTCCCTGGGAAAAGGTCTAGAAGGAGCAAGCAGCCTCCTACTGTTATCATTTCTGGGTCCTGTGGAAAGGGAGATGTCTGTGTCAGGAGTTCTGACTGACACTTACATCTAAAATGATAATCAACAACAGCGAGAAATTTTATGGGGCTTATTTTGTGCCAAGCACTCTTCTAAATGCTTTATATATATAGATACATTGAATCTTCTCAACAGCCCTTTGATGAAGGCACTGTGTGTGTGTGTGTGTGTGTGTGTATATATATATATATATATATATATATATATATATATATATGCACATACATATACCTGTTCTACAGAAGGGGAAACAGAGAGGGAAAGCAAATTGTCCCAGGACACACAGCTGGTAGTTTTGAGGCTGTGATCTTTGACATCTTTGAAATGCTCTGGCCTGGGCACCTGCTGGTTCAAGCCCAGCTGCTTGTTCTCCTCCTGTAGATATATTCATCTCTGGTTGTTGTTCACAAGCCACAGAGTGCCAAGACCAAACAGGAGGCTGTTAGGACACCACCCTTACAAGCCTCTGCCAACTTGGCAGGAGGAGGAAATTTTTGTTTTAAAAGAAAGAGAACTGGATGTCCTCTTGTACACATGGATTAACTCACAGTTTCATAAGACCTTGGGAAAGGAGAAAATCAAAGGAGCTGTCTTTCCCTAATTTGGACGGAGAGTTGGTGAAAAATGGCACCTGCTCCAAGGTATTTTCTTGAATCTGTGTTGGGCTCTGGGTTTCTTATGGGACTGGGCAGTTGTGTAATCTTTGGTCTCTGCTCCCTCATCTGGAATATAGGTAATAATAATACCTACTTCACAGAGTTGTGAAAATTAAATTAGCATATGTAAGGCACTTAGAACATACATATTGATATATTGAATCTTGTCAATAACCCATTGATGACAGCACTGCATACATCCCCATTTTACAGATGGGGGAACAGAGAGGGTAAGAAAACTGTCCCAGGACTCACAGCTGGGCAGTCTTGAGGCTCAGATCTTATGACGCCATACAGTATGCACTATCTGAGTTTTCATGATTGGTGTTGCTGTGGTCACACTCCCGGAGGTACCGTGTCTTCCTGAGGGGAGTGGATCACCTTTCTCTATCTCCCTGGGAAGCGGAAGATGTTGGGGCGGGATCTGAGGACTTGAAAAGTGCAGCCTTAGCTGGGTCAGTGGTTGACCCCTCCCTCTCTCTGGGTCTGGCTGTGTCGGAGTCCAGAGAAACACTGAGGGAGCAGGTCAGGAGCTGGCAGGGAGTGCCCCGTAGGGGCCCCACGGGACTGCCCAGGGTCTGTGGGTGTGGAAGGTAGCCTGTGGCAGGTTATTCTCCGAACAATAGCTCTTCTGAAGCATGATGGTCTGGTTGTGACTGGACTAAGGGAAAATTACAAGAAAGGCTTACGTTCATATCTGCCTGTGTGGTGCGCACCAGGGTCCCGAGTACAAAGCACTGTTACTAAACTGGAGGTGACAGCAGTGTAGACACACACAATCTGGACTGGCCCTGGAGGACACATGGAATACCTCAAAGACCCAGCAATGCTAGAAAAGCGCAATGGTGTAGTCAGCATAGTTAGACGAGGTTGCAGTAACAAATACACCCTCCCTCCCGGTGGCCTAAGACAAGAAGGTTTATTTGTTCTTCACGTAAACTTCATTGTAAGTCAGTTTGCTCTCTTCTGTCTTGCAGCCATAATATCTGGAATGTGTGGCCTTCAGAATTGCCACTGTAGAGAAGAGAAGGCTGGAAGACCCCATGGGATGCTTTAAGGGCTAGGCCCAGAAGTGCAATTACGTCATTTACAACCACCTCTCTTTGGCCAGAACCAGGTCACACAGCTCCGTTCTAACTGCAAAGGAGGCCAGGGCTTAGAAGATCTCGTGGATATTTGGTGAATACTGGCAGTCTTGCCATAGTCAGGAAACTTCAAAAAGGGGAAAAGATGCCCTATGGCCACACTCCACTCTGGCCCACAAGCTGGCATCATCCAATGACGTGGCCGATGTGGCCTCATTTGTTGCGTGGGCTGGCAAAACCCATATTCAGGTTATACAGGAATCCTTCATTAAAGTTTAGAGGTCCTTTCTCCTCCAAGGCCCAGTTCTGTTTTTTTTAAAATTAATTTTAAAATATTTTTCCCTTTGATCTTTTAATTAATGAACTATTACCATATAACAAATTGCCCCCAAAACTCGGTGGCTTAAAACAACAAACATTTATTATTTCACAGTTTATGTGGGCCAGGAATTTGAATGCATATTAACTGAGTGGCTCTGATTCAAGGTCTTTGACGAGGCTGTACTGAAGGTGTGGACTGGGGTTGCAGTCATTTGGAGAAATAGCCCAGTTGGAGTTGGAGGATTTGCTTCCAAATTGGCTCGTTCCCGTGGCTGCTGGTGGGAGGCCTCAGTTTCTCATAGTACAGGTCCCTCCACAGGCCTGCTTGAGTGTCCTCATGGCATGACAAGTGATCCAAGAGAGAGGGTGACACTGGACCATGGCGCTTTTTATGCCCTGGTCTCTGAAGGTGCACACCGTCGCTTTTGCCGTATGTTACTCCAGTAGAAGCAAATCACTAAGTCCATCCCACACTCAAGGAAAGGACCTAAACTCCAACTCTTCAAAGCAGGAATATAAAAGAATTTCTGGAAATATTTTCAAACTACAACAGTCTCCCTTGAATTTATTTTGGAACATGAGTTTCCATTCCCTACGAAGAACTGATTGCCCCATTACCATTTACTCATTTAACTTCCCCATTGAACTAATTTATCGTATTAAATCATTATCTAGAAAAGGGCTTGTCATGGGCCACCTATTTAGTTACATTGACCTGTCTGGCTATTGTCATGTCCAAGTACATTTAAATTTTTCAGAGGTCATAAAACTTTAAGCCAGACCACAAGCTCCCTAGTAGCACAGCCTGTAGACATATAAGGGATTATACTATGTTGTATTAAGTGCAGGGTCTTAGCACACTATGAAGTGTACATATGAAGTTGTACTGCCCTTGAGGGCAGTAGCAACTCGACTGACAGAGGCTCTGCCCGAAGCCAGGCAGTGATCATGCTGAAGGTCAGGCCAACGAGGGTGTGTGTGTGTGTGTGTGTGTGTGTGGTGGGAGTGGGAGGGTGCTGGGGTACCAAGAATGGCAGCTGAACTGCATCTTTTGTTAGAGATCCGAAACTCTCAGCTTGCGGGACTTTACTTCACAGGCGTAAGCACAATCTGATGGAAAATTTGAATCCTGAAAACGTGATATTTCATCTGTATCTCATAGACATGGCACCTGGCACCGTCCCAGACAGGGCACATCATGGGGCACTTGGTTAGTGGATGGGTTGTCAGGTCAGGGAGGCGACACAGGATCACCTGAGCACATCCAGGACACCTGCCAGGACCAGCCGTGTGAGGCTTTCGACTGTGGCGGGGGCACCTGCTGTGCTGAATGGCTGGTTTGTCTCTGGGATTTGGGTAGAAAACAGAGCCACCAAGGTGGATGCTCAGTTTCAAGACCTCCACCCTCCACTGGGGGAAGTTTCAATTCAGCTGTGGCCATGGGGTCCACAGCAAGACACCCTCCCACCCCATGAGACACAGAAAGAGGAAGAAGGCTGCTATACGGGAATTAAAATATAAAGCTCCAGGCATAATACAGAGAATCAGCTCCTGATAAAGTAAGCCAAGAGACTGTCTCTACACACGTGACTGAGTTATGCTCGTCCCAGATCCAAAGCTGAAAGAGCAGGACTGGTTCGGGATTTCCATTTGTCACCTGTGGCTGATGCTATTGTCTAGCTCCCCGGTAGCCATCCCCACTTCTCTTCTGTTTGACTAACAGAGCCCCAGAATTTTTCCAAGCAGCAACACGCCCAGACCAATCAGAATTGATGTAAGATGAACAAGCACAGCGACTCCCATTCTCCTTTCCCAGATACTCAATTTCCCTGCTTGCAGCTAAAGGAGGCCAGGTGACCTGTGTGGCCACTGAGATGTGTGGGGAACTCTGATATGAGCTTTGGGAAAGATTTTAAGATTAAAAAAGAAAACCAGGCCTGGCATGGTGGCTTACTTTGGGAGGCCAAAGCAGGAGGATCTCTTCAGCTCAGGAATTCAAGACCAGCCTGGGCAACATGGTGAAACCCCTTCTCTACCAAAAATATCAAAAAAAAAAAAAAAAAATAGCCAAGCATGGTGGCAAGTGCCCGTGGTCCCAAATACTCGGGAAGTTGAGGTGGAAGAATCACTTGAGCCTGGGAGGTGAAGGTTGCAGTGAGCCGAGACTGCACCACTGCACTCCAGCCTGGGTGACAGAATCAGACCCTGTCTCTCAAAACAAAAGCAAAACAAACAAAACAGCACAGAGAAGAACTGGCTGGTACTGCCTCTTCCTGCGTCCTCCTATGTGATGCCTGGGCCTCCTCCAGTCTTGTCACCATGAAGCCACACCCAGGAGGCCCTAAAGGCGGCTGGCTGATGAGGGCGGAGTAGGAGACGGGTGTGACGGTTAATTTGGTGTCAACCTGATGGGCCAGATCTTTGGGCAACATCTTCTGGTGTTTCTGTGGGGTGTTTTGCATGAGACTGGGGGGACTGAGGAAATCAGATTGTTGCTCCTAATGTGGGTGGGCCTCATCCATTCAGACGAAGGTCTGAAAAGAACACAAAGGTTGATCTGCCAAGCAAGAGGGAACTCCCCCTGCCTAGCAGCCTTCAAACGAGGGCATTGGCTATTTCACTCAGCCCGCAGACAGGAACTAAACCATCTGCTCTCCTGGATCTCCAGCTTGCTGACTCACCCTGTAGATCTTGAGGCTTGCTGCTTTTATAATTGCGTGAGCCAGTTCCTTAAATAAGTCAGTCTCTATCTCTGCATCTACTTGGTTCTCTTTCGCCAGAGAATCCTGACTAATACATGGTGTCAGCCTAGGTCTTCACTGACCCCACTGGTCTGGTTCACCAGCACTGACCTGCCTGAACTCCTGGCCTCAAGCGATCCTCCAGCTTCAGCCTCCCGAGTAGCTGGGACTACAGACTGAAATTCTAAGGAAGCAGGTAGATCCCCAAACAAACTGTTTTTTCCTGAAAACAGGAAAGTCACACCAACCAGTTGGAAAGACCTCAGTTTACCTGAGTCAGCATAATGAAGAAGTCCCCTCTGCTTTAACTTACAAGAAAATAACCTGAAGTAACCTGATATTAAGCAATCTGATTTTTTTCTATTGTTCTGTTTCCTCGTTCCCACCTTACAAAGCCCACAGTTCTGCTATTGCCCAGTGGGAGCTCTCCTTCTATTTTGAAGAATAGAGGCTTCCCTCATTCATAAAAGCCAATTAGATCTTAAAAACAAATTTGTGTAATTTTGTCTTTTGACAGTACCTAAGAGTGTATCTGCCATAAACTTCTCAAGGAATTATGTGAGCTTCTGAGAAACAATAGCTTGCTGAAAACAGGGAGGCAGCGAGCATGAGAGTAATGTGGAAAAATCTCACGTGGAAAGAAAGAATGGGATAAAAAGCTGGATATGCTGTAAACAAGGTATCTATTTACAAAGACACACAGAAACTTCTGAACCTTTGGACAAAAAAGCGACGAAGAAATTTGTCAAAGTGTTGAGCAGTTGCTTCTAGTTGGTAGGATTTAAATATTTTAGTCTGTTTGCTTTTTATATCTTTTATAAACAAAGCCCTCTTCACTCCTGTGTGGCTGGCACAGGAGAACCTATGTGGACTTAACACCCTCTTCGTATGCCTCCTTTCCCACCCTCCATTTCGTCTGTCTACGAATTCAGCTTCCCAGGAACCAAGGAAAGCAGAAGGGAGATGCCTGTCTACGTGGAGAGTTCAGTCATGATACACAGGATTACCGGCTGTGACTGACTGAGCCAGCATATGTGTTGAGCAGTCAGCTGTGAGTCTGGGTAGCGTGAGTCTGGTAAGGCAGACAGACGGAATTTCTGCCTTCTTGTGGCAGAGTCCCTTGGCGGGGCTGGCAGGACTCAGAAACAGGGGAAGGCACATGCCAACATCCCCACTAACTAACTGAGGCCAGCCTCTGCTAGGAGCCTCCTGTGTCAAGTGTGGGGCTTACCACATTATAGCTATCTCACTCAATCCCCAGGACAGCACTGTGAGGCCAGTGCTGTTGGCAGAAAGGCTGGGAGGTACAGAGCAGGGGAGTCCACATGTGGCTGTGATGACCAGGAGCCCCTCACTAACAGCAGAGGTGTGGACTGGGGTGAAAAACAAAGACAAAACGTCCACAGGAGTGTTAACACTACAGAAATAAAAAGTGTTAGAAGAGGCCGGGTGTGGTGGCTCACACCTTTAATCCCAGCACTTTGGGAGGCCGAGGCAGGCAGATCACCTGAGGTCAGGAGTTTGAGACCAGCCTGACCAACGTGGAGAAACCCAGTCTCTACTAAAAAAAATACAAAAATTAGCCAGGTGTGGTGGCGCAGGCCTGTAATCCCAGCTACTCGGGAGGCTGAGGCAGGAGAATTGCTTGAACCCAGGAGGTGGAGGTTGTAGTGAGCCGAGACTGCGCCACTGCACTCTAGCCTGGGCAACACGAGCAAAACTCGTGCAAAAAAAAAAAAAAAGAAGAAAAAAGTGTTGGGAGGATGGACAGAAGCATCTGGGGAAGACTTTGCAGGTGAAAACGGCAGAACTCTCACTACATGACAACTTTGGTCAAGCTCTGAGAGACTTTACCAAACTCTAGCATGGCTTCTAACAGCGTAAGGCCATGTCCCTCAGATAAAACCAGCGTTCCTTCAAGTGCCTGCCTGAGAAAGTTCAATGTGCCAGGGAATGACTATTTGTCTTAGCTAACATTCATCTGGTGATAGGCCCTTGGACTCCCTTACTATAAAAGGCTTACAATTTTAAATACAGTCGTGCATCATGTAATGGCAGGAATACGTTCTGAGAAATGTGTTGTGAGATGATTTCATCATTGTGTGAACATCATAGAGCGCGCTTACACAAACCGAGATGGCACAGCCGGCTACACACCCAGGCTGTATGACACAGCCTGTTGGTCCTGGGCGGCAAACCTGTACTGGGGCTAAAAACCTGTACAGCATGTGACTGCACTGAATACTGTAGGCAACTGTGATATGATGGTGAGTATTTGTGTATCTAAACATATCCAAACATAGAAAAGACACAGTAAAAATATGATATAAATGATTAACAAATGG